>NC_000012.12:109278309-109429824 GCF_000001405.40 Homo sapiens | reverse complement strand
AGCAGCCCAAACAGACTAAGACACCAAATGTCCTCATGGCTCACTTCCTCACTCAGAGAGTGACCCCCTTACCTAAGGAGGGAGCCTGGCCACTCTTTCCCCTTACCTGGATTCACTTTTCTTCAAATAACATATCCCTGCCTGGCCTTATGCAGTCACCCCTCATCGTATGTGGGGAATTGGTTCCAGGACCCCCATGGATACAAAATCCACGGATGTTCAAGTCTCTAATAAAAAATGGCATAGTGTTTGCATATAACCTGAGTACATCTTCCTGTACACTTTAAATCATCTCTAAATTACTTATTATACCTAATACTATGTAAATACTACATAAATAGATATTAGACTATATTGCTTTTTAATTTGTATTATTATTGTTGTATTGTTATTTTTATTGTATTTTTAAAAGCATTTTGAATCCATAGTTGGGTGAATCCTCAGATGTGGAACCCGCGGGTGTGGAGGGCCAACTTTACGTCTTTGTTATTGTTGGTCTCCCCCATAGAAAGTAAATTCCATGAGGACAGGGATGGGGTCTGTTCTGTTCTCTGACATCACCCCAGCACCTAGGACAGTGCTAGCTCAGATAGCTGCTCACCAGTTTTTGTTTGTTTTGATACAGAGTCTCATTCTATCACCCAGGCTGGAGTGCAGTGGTGTGATTTCAGCTCACTGCAACCTCTGCCTCCCGGGTTCAAATGATTCTCATGCTTCAGCCTCCTGAGTAGCTGGAATTACAGGCATGCGCCACTATGCCTGGCTGATTTTTGTGTTTTTAGCAGACAGGATTTCACCATGTTGGTCAGGCTGGTCTTGAACTTCTGACCTCAAGTGATCTGCCCACCTTGGCCTCCCCAAGTGCTGGAATTACAGGTGTGAGGCAACATGCCCGGCCTGCTCACTAGATTTTATGGAAAGAATGAATGAGCCTCAGAAAGCAGCAAAAATAGACAAGAGATGTATGAAGTTCAAAAAAACACAGGTAGATGGGAACATCAAGTGTGTATATGTTTGGAGGGGGGTGAGGTGGGCAGTGGCTGTTGCCCTGCCATCTGCCGCAGAAGTCAGATTTGGGATGAAGATGAATGAATAAGTAGCGGATGGGCAAAAATGGTGGGCAAAGGAGGTACATCCAGGAAAAATAAAGGCAAAGAGTCTCAAATGACTACACTCAAAATATTGGTTGAACCACATGAAATTTCTGCTATTCAACCATTCTGACCCAACAAAGTGACCATTTATTATGCTTGAGAGTGTGTTGCTATTTTGGTAGCATAAATTCACACACAGCCCATCATTGAAGAAGTGTTGGTGTATAAGCAATTTGGGGGATGGTGAGAGTAGGCGTAGAAATAGTTCATTAAATCTTTACAAACTCCCTGATCCCAGACAATTTAATCCTACAGATAAGGGAAATGACAGGTCACAGCTATAAGAGAATGAGGATTATGATCCAAGTTCATGTGGTTTGAAAACCCATGTCCCCACCGCTAACCTGCTGCTCTTGACAGCCCGTTGCGCTAAGGCACTAAACCAGGCCCTACGGTCACAAATGGACTTAGCTTCTCCTGCTAATTCAGAGGCCTGTGGGGCACTGCCCACGGCTGCCCCCTGGTGGCAGATCTACGCACTTGGCCTTGCCCTTGACTGTAAACAGTCAGGGATTAGTGAAATGAACAGAAGATGGTAAACTGAATTTTTGTGAGTTTTTTTTTTTGTTGTTTTGTTTTGTTTTTGAGATGGTTCTCATTCTGTCACCCAGGCTGGAGTGCAGTGGTACGATCTCAAGTTCACCGCAGCCTCAACCTCCCAGGCTCAGGTGATCCTCCCACCTCAGCCTTCTGAGTAGCTGGGACTACAGGTGTGTACCACCACACCCATCTAATATATATATATATATATATATATATATTTTTTTTTTTTTTTTTTTTTTTTTTTTTGTAGAGATTGGGTTTTGCCATGTTGCCCAGGACGGTCTCGAACTCCTGGCCTCAAGCAATCCTCCCACCTCGGCCTCCCAAAATGCTGGGATTACAGGCATGAGCCACCGCACCCAGCCAGAGTTGGGTTTTTATGTTCTCCCAAATGTTAGTGTTTTTAGCTGTCATAACTACAGCAGTTAACAACCAAACTGAGCCTTCCTAAGGGATGCCATTTTATTTACCACTAAACCCCAGAGATTCTCATGTAGTAGGCACATGACTATTGGCTTCAGATCAATAAAGCACATTTTACCTTTGCAAGAAATGCTCGTATTTCCTTCGGTATGCAAAACCAGCCCGTCTCACCCGCAGGTGCTCCATCAGCCCCAGGTATTTGATCTGATGCCTTATGAGGAAGTCATCAAATTTGCCTTTGGAGAAATAGAACAGAGAATGACAGGAAAGGATCCCATGGCTTCATATCAACCAAGGCAGATCACAGGCTGCAAGCTGAAGTTCAGTGGGCTGGGTCTGGCCCCAGACTCATTTCGTGAGGTCTTAATTTTTTTTTTTTTTTTTTTTTGAGATGGGGTTTCATTCTTTTTGCCCAGGCTGGAGTGCAGTGGCACAATCTCGGCTCACTGCAACCTCTGCCTCCTGGGTTCAAGTGATTCTCCTGCCTCAGCCTCCCAAGTAGTGGGGATTACAGGTGCACACCACCATGCCTGGCTAATTTTTGTATTTTTAGTAGAGACGTGGTTTCACCGTGTTGGCCAGGCTGGTCTCGAACTCTTGACCTTAGGTGATCCACCCGCCTCGGCCTCCCAAAATGCTGGGATTACAGGCATGAGCCACCATATGCCCAGCCCAATTGTGCTTTTTAAATGGGGGAATTTTATAGGAAAAAATTAAATTTCTGGTTCCTCTGAAAAGTCCTGAGATCTGGCTATCCTGAGGCCAGAGTCCCACATGGCAACAGCTGGCAGGAGAGGAGTAGCGCTGTTGCCCCTTTAGACAGAATGTGCCTTCTCCAGTTTGCCACAGTCCTCCCCACTGCCTATTGCCTTTCAACCTGTCTGCTTCACTCATTTGCTTTTCCTGCCTAGCCTCTGTGAGCCTCTGATGGTCCATTATAGTTCATTATAATGGTTCCTAACAACTATATTATAGACCATGGCAAGAGCTTAGAAACTACCCAAGTCATAGATCATTTTCGAAGACTGTTCCTTGGCTAGAAAAGAGTGACGTTGACTCCCTTCGCCTCTGACACCTGCCTGACTCAGCTGTGTTGCTCCTGAAACTGAACAACCTCTGAGAAATGCTCACTCTGAACCACCAAAGGCATTCATTTACCTTCTATTATTATTATTTTTTGAGATAGGGTCTCACTCTGTCACCCATACTGGAGTGCAGTGGCACAGTCATGGCTCACTGCAGCCTTGAACTCCTGGGATCAATTGATCCTCCCACCTCAGCCTCCCAAGTAGATGGGACTACAGACATGTTCCACCACACCCAGCTAGTGTTTGTATGTTTAGTAGAGACACGCCACCATGCCTGGCTAATTTTCGCATTTTTTGTAGAGACGGGGTTTTGCCATGTTGCCCAAACTGGTTTCCAATTCCTGGGTTCAAGTGATCCGCCTGCCTCAACCTCCCAAAGGGCTGGGATTACAGGCATAAGCCTGTAACATCTGGCCAACTTCTATCATTTAGAAAGGAAAATGATTCACATCCAGAGGACATCGAGCAAGCTTGTGGTGGTGTTTAGGATCCCAACCCACTGCCACCTTGCTTTGGCTCCCAGCCTCCTTTCCCTGAGCCCAGTTCATAATGATCCACAACTCACTGGGTTCTTTCCTGTCGTTGGGCTTGATGCAACGGATGTAGGAGGGCTCCTTAGAGATGAGGGTTTCTAGAAGGCTGCTCAGACTGTTTTTAAACTGAGTCCCCACCTGCAGAGAGAGAGAGAAAGAGAGAGAGAACGAGCCAGAGAGATACTGCTGCTTCCAACGAATACAAAAAGACTGGCCAGGGCTCAAGGTGTCAGCCCTATAGAGCTGAACTATTGACAGATTGTCTTCCTAGTGGCCATCTGGCCCATTAAGAGGTGGCTTTGGATGTCCTGACCTGAGAAGGCCAGTCTTGGTCTGGTCACGTGGAAGCTGGACAAGCATCTGTCTAGGATGCCTCACTTGCTCAGCAAAGACGTGGTGAGTGCCCAGCAGGAACCAGTTCTGCCCCAGGCCTGTCATTCTCTTCCACCTTCCTTTGTGTTTCTTTGTTGACACGTGTCCTTCATGATGCTGGTATTATTATAACTTCTTTATTTGATGGTATTTTCTTATACTCTCTCCCACTAGATTGTAAGTCCCTTGAGGGCAGGGACCTCATCTGGCTTGTTATTGCTGAATCCCTGTGCCTGGCACAGTGCCTGCCACATATACATAGTAGGTGCTGCTCAATGAATGCCTGCAAATGAACAAACTGGGACTAAACTTGGAACATGAATATCACATTCTAAGTTAATGTATATATCATAAGCCACGTTCCAAGTGATTTTTTAAGAGACAGGGTCTTGCTCTGTCACCTAGTCTGGAGTGCAGTGGCATAATCATGGCTCATTGTAACTTCAAACTCCTGGGTTCAAGGATCCTCCTGCCTCAGCCTCCGAAAGTAGCTGGGACTATGGATGCACACCACTGCACCTGGCTAATTGATTTTTTCTTTCTTTCTTTTATGTTTTTAATGCACCCAAGTTTTGTCTGACTGATTTGTTTTTATTTTTATTTTTGTAGAGACAGGGTCTCATTATGTTACCCAGTCTGGTCTTGAACTCCTGGCCTCAAGTGATTCTCCCACCTGGGCCTCCCAAAGTGCTGGGATTACAGATGTGAGGCTCCCAAAGTGCTGGGATTACAGGTGTGAGATTACAGGTGCATATATTTAGTAGAATCTGTTAGAGAGTAATACTTCCAGAAAAGGGGAAGGTGGCTTAAAAAGCGTAGGTAGTTGGTGGTCATCTCACCCTCTGGTGAGATCCAATTTTGCATGGGTGTTTTTCCCACTCACTGTTGGGGGCCTCCTCCGGTTTTCTAACTCGGCCAGCAGGAAGCATTCCCTCAGGATAATGTTCTTGGACTTGCACAGCACCTGTAAGTGAAGAGAAATGAGTACCACGTTCGCTGTTTCAGAAATCACTACAGGGCTGTCAGGACGGCTCACAGAGTGTGCATGAAGCAACAGAGCCATCTGCTTCTTGAATGCTTGAAGATGTTCCTAATGTAAAGAAAGGGGAACAACACAGTTAAATATGGAAGGCCATGTTCACATTCTACATCCACTGCTTTCTCTGCTTGCTGAAGCCAGACGTTTTTTCTCCGACATTGTCCCTGGTTCAGTGCAGCTGCTTCAGAATAAACTGGCTGTTTAAGAAATGATCCCAGGCCAGGAATGGTGGGGCTCAGGCTTGTAATCCCAGTACTTGGGGAGGCCAAGGCAGGAAGATGGCTTGAGCCCAGGAGTTTGAGACCAGCCTGGGCAACATGGCAAAACCTCATCTTTACAAAGAAGTTAGCCAGGTGTGGTGGTGTGCACCTATGGTCCCAGTTACTCAGGAGGCTGAGGTAGGAGGATCACTTGAGCCCACGAAGTCGAGGCTGCAGTGAACTCTGATTGCGCCACTGCACTCCAGCCTGAGTGACAGACTGAGAACCTGTCTCAAAAAGAAAAAAAAGAATGATCTCCAAGATAATGGTGTTAAGTGAAAAAAGCAAGACGCAAAACCACACATACAGTGTGCTATTATTGTGCAAAGAGAAATAAAAAGAAAGAAAGAGATACACATACGCACATCCTGTGTGGTCCCTGGAAGGACGCACAATACAAAGGTGAGAGCAGTTGACTCTCGGGCGAGAGACTTGCTGACATGGGACCCAGGGCACTAGCTTTTGGACTGTTTGACTTTCGCCCCTGTGCGTGTATTTTTTAAATAATCTATATCACCAAAAGTCCTTAATTTTTTAAAATATTTAATTCTTTACCAGAAAAATATTTTCCCTACATAGGTAACATGGAATATTATTCCACCTTCAAAAGCATGATTCTGACATATTCCACAACACGAATAAACCCACGCTAAGTGAAATAAGTATTATGCTCACTATGCTAAGTGGAATAAGCTAAGTGAAATAAGCCAGTTGCAAAAAGAAAAACACTGTCTGATTCCACTCATATAAGGTCCCTAGAGGACTGAAGTTCATAGAGGTAGAAAGTAGACAGTATTTCCAGTGGCTGCTGGGAGGGGGAACGGAGAGCAGTTGTTTAGTGGATACTGAGTTTCAGTTCTGCAAGATGAAAAGAGTTCAGGAGATCAACTGCGCAACCATGTAAATCTACTCAACACTATTGAACTGTACACTTTAAAATGATTAAAATGTGGCCGAGCGTGGTCGCTCACGCCTGTAATCCCAGCACATTGGGAGACCAAGGCGGGTGGATCACCTGAGGCCAGGAGTTCAAGACCAGACTGACCAACAAGGTGAAACACCGTCTCTACTAAAAATACAAAAAAAATTAGCCTGGTGTGGTGGCATATGCCTGTAATCCCAGCTACTCGGGAGGCTGAGGCAGGAGAATTGCTTGAACCCCAGAAGCAGAGGTTGCAGTGAGTTGAGATCATGCCACTGTACTCTAGCCTGGGTGACAGAGTGAGACTCTGTCTCAAAAATAATAAATAAATAAAATGATTAAAATGCTAAATTTTGTTATGTATGTTTACCACATCTCAAAAAAATTTTTTTTTCTGTTTTTTTCAAGACAGGGTCTCACTCTGTCATCCAGGCTGGAGTGCAATGAATGACACGGTCACAGCTCACTGCAACCTCCACCTCCTGGGCTCAAGCAATCCCCCTACCTCAGCCTCCCAAGTAGCTAGAACCACAGGGGTGTGCCACCACACCCAGCTAATTTTTTAATTTAATTTTTTTTGATAAGGATGGGGTTTCACCATGTTGTCCAGGCTGGGTTCAAGCTCCTGGGCTCAAGCGATCCACCCACCTCGGACTTTCAAAGTGCTGGGATTACAGGCATGAGCCACTGTGCCTGGCACCCCATTTTTTTTAATTGAATTTTTTTGTTGTTGTTTAATCCATTGCAGTTCTAAACCTACAGTGATATGGAAGAGTAATCTGCCAATAGTACAGAAACAAATGAGAAGTGTTCCGTCCTGAAGTCAAAAAGTTCAGGGAGCTTCAGCCCTGGTGGGTGAAGGGAGAGATTTGGAGACTTCTTTCCTATGTGATGTCCTCTCCGTGGATTGGTTTGTGAAGCTGACGGCCATGACCCCAGAGGGGAAGCTGTTAGAGAAACGCTGTCGCCCATTTGTTAACCAGACACGTCCACTCCAGTGTTCTCCACAGCTACTCCATGAGGCGGACAGCAGCAGCCCCACTTTGCTGACGGGAAACCTGCCACACGGTCCCCAGCAGGGAAGGGGCTGGGCTGGGACTCAGACCCAGAGAGCGACTGTCTGGTGGATCCAAAGTCAGGAGTTGCTCGTCTACCTTGAGTCCAAAAAGGTTGAGACAAGCAGTCCCAGAAGTGGCAGAGAAAGTTTGGGAAGGCAGAAAAAACACTCCTGAGGTGACTGTTCACCTGCTCACTCCAAAAATGTTACCTTTAGGGTTAAGCTTTTAATAAACCAAGCTAATAAAATCTAATTTTGCACAAAACAGTTAACTATTTTAATACAAAATAGGGGCCTTAAAAACTCAAGGTTTTAGGCATGGCGCAGTGGCTCATGCCTGCAATCCCAGCTTTGGGAGAGTGAGGTGGGAGGATCACTTGAGGCCAGGAGTTCGAGACCAGCCTAGGCGTCATAGCAAGATCCTGTCTCTAACAAACAAAAAAATTAGTTGGGTGTGGTGGTGTGTGTCTGAAGTCCTAGCTACTCAGACTGAGGCAGGAGGATCACTCGAGCCCAGGAGGCTGAGGCTGCAGTGGGCAATGATGACGTCACTGCACTCCAGCCTGGGTGACAGAGCCAGACCCTGTCTCAAAAACAACAGCAGCAGCAGCAGCAACACTTCTCAGATTGATGAGATATATGGAAAGGCAAAGAGATTGGGAATTCCGTCGGCAGCCCTGGGGGCTAATACCATCTCCAGCCCCCACCTCATGATGTGGCCTTGTGCAAGCTGTGACCTGTCTGGGTCTCAGCTTCCTCGTCCTCAGATCATGTCACCCCAGTATATTCTCATAACACCAGAATGAAATCTCTACTTCCCCTGTGGACCTGCCCCTGCTAAGCTCTCAGCCCCCTCTCCTAACATTGCCCCTCGTCCAGACCACAGGACCTTTGCACATACTGGTCTCTCTACCTGGAATAACTTCTGATCCTTCTATGGCCCAAATCATTCTCATTCAGGTTTTAGCTCAAAGTCACCTCCAAGGGGTGTTTTCTCTAATCACCTAAATTAAAAATGTCCCCTTCAATCACAGTTCCTTGTTTATTCTCTTTGCAGCACTTCTCACTAATGGATAACTTATTTGTGTATATATTTATTATCTGCTTCCCCAACTCCTGACTGTAAGCCCCACGAGAATAAGAGCTCCATCTTGTTCGGAGCTCCATCTTGTTCACTGATGACCTCCAGAGCTGGTGCCCAGGGGGCATCATACACATTTGAATGGTTTGTTGAGTGAAGTGTCCACACAGATGATCCTGAATGTCTGTTCTGGCCATGACATGCTGGAGTTCTAATACGATGCATGGAAAAAAAAAAAATCCAGAAGGCGAATTCTACCAAAATCACTATCATGGGTAATATTTCAAAATAATCAGAAACACATACAGTTAAGTGTCAGACTTACTTCTTTCAGATGTCTGTAAAGAAGATCATTGTTTTTTTCCAAGAATCCTGTAAAACATTGAAGAAAAATTTTTTGAATCAATGTCTCTGCCTAAAAATACAATTCCATCCCAACTCATTGCAAAGGGAAATTCTGAAAAAGAATTTCTTAGGATTAGCTCATAGTTTCTCAACCTTGGCACTATGGGTATTTGGGGCTGGGTCGTTCTTTGTGGTGGGGGCTGTCCCATGCATTGTGGGATGTTGAGAAGCATCTCTGGCCTCTATTCACACTAGATCCCAGTAACACTGTCCCCAGTTGTGACAACCAAATGTATTTCTAGATTATATGGTTTGGGTCTGTGCCCTCGCCCAAATCTCAAGTCAAATTGCAATCCCCAATGTTGGAAGAGGGGCCTGGTTGGGGGTGATTGGATCATGGGGACAGATGTCCCCCTCGCTGTTCTCATGATAGTTCTCAGGAGATCTGGTTGTTTAAAAGTTTGTAGCACTTCCCCCTTCACTCTATTCCTCCTCCTCCGGGCATGTTAGACATGCCTGCTTCCCCTTCACCTTCCACCATGATTGTATGTTTCCTGAGGCCACCCCAGCCATGCTTCCTGCACAGCCTGATGAACTTTGAGTTAATTAAACCTCTTTTCTTTATAAATTACCCAATCTCAGGTAGTTCTTTATAGCAATGTGAGAATGGACTAATATGCTAGACATTGCCACATATCCCTCCGGGGGGCGGGTAACATGTCCCTCATTGAGAACCAGGTCCTCAGAACTGAACTCGTGGCACAAATGCTATACTCAATCCTGATGAGCTGTCGTATAAATATGCATAGTCTTTACACTAAGTATTGCACACTTGCCCTAGTCCAATAGCAAAGAAACACAAATACACTGAATATACAGAAACAGAGTGGCACTGAACTTCAAGGACAGCCAGCTGGGACTCTAAATAGATGAGAAAATTCCCCACGACTGAGAAAAAACAAACTCAAGCACCATGGCTGGTGGTACCCAACAGCATCTTCAGGCAAAGACAGACATGTCATTTCCAGGTTTAAAACTTGGCTTATCTGTCTACCTAAAACTTAATCAGTTAATAATTACATTAGAAAGTAAATGGCATTATAAAGGCAAAACCAGATTTTTTTTTTTTTTTTTAAGTTGGGGGAGCAGCCAAGCATGGTGTCTCATGCCTGTGATCCCAGCACTTTGGAAGGCTGAGGTGGGAGGATAGCTCGAGCCTAGGAGTTTGAGACTAGCCTGGGCAACATAGTGAGTCTGAGACTAGCCTGTCTCTACACAAATATTTTTAAAAACTTAGCTGCGTGTGGTGGTGCATGCCTGTAGTCCCAGCTACTTGGGGAGCTGAGGTAGGAGGATTGCTTGAGCCCAGGAAGTCAAGACTGCAGTGAGCCACGATTGCGCACTGTACTCCAGTCTAGGCAACAAAGTGAAACCCTGTTTCCAGAAAAATGATTAAATAAAAATTTTAAAAAGGCATGCATCAAAAGTGTTTAAGAAAAAAAATGGTGGCATAGAAGCAAGCTGGCTTCACTCCCCCCACAGAAAGCCAAAATCAAATAATATACCATGAGATTATTACCAGAAATATCCCAGAACCCAAATATGAGGATGACACAATTCCTGGTGCTACAGAGAAGTAGAAAAACTCAGAGCAGATGGTAAGAGAATCAGATTTCCTTATCCACGATGCCCCCGCCCCACCACATCTGCCTAGCACCCGGCACATGGAAAACTCCCCACCAACACATGGAAAAAAGTGAGATCAAGGTAGAGTGAATGAGTATGAGTGAGTGTGTGTGTGTGTGTGTGTGTGTGTGTGTATCCTCACATAGGTATATGCAGAAAACATTTCTATTTTCCTGGAAGTAGTTACAAGAAACTGTTTATTATTGTGGTCCCCCCAAAGGAGACACTGAGAGTAAAAGGCATTTGAGTTTTCCTTTTGTTCCTTTCTGTGCTGTCAGCAGTTTATAGCTCTACATGTGTATTATCTTTATTCTTTAAACAAAAATAAACGGATTATCTGCACAAAGAGACTCATCCTTTTTAAAAATTTTTTCTTTTTGTCACTTTGCATTCAAAGAAAAAAAACCCTAATACCTGTATGTGTAATTACTTTTTAAAAGATTCTTAGAAATATACTCTTATTTAAAAGTAAAAATAATGCTGGGTGCGGTGGCTCACGCCTGTAATCCCAGCACTTTGAGAGGCTGAGGCGGGTGGATCACGAGGTCAGGAGATCGAGACCATCTTGGCCAACATGGTGAAACCCCGTCTCTACTAAAAAATACAAAAAACTAGCCGGGCGTGGGGTGCCTGTAGTCCCAGCTACTAGGGAGGCTGAGGCAGGAGAATGGTGCAAACCCAGGAGGCAGAGCTTGCAGTGAGCCGAGATCTTGCCACTGCACTCCAGCCTGGGCCACAGGCGAGACTCCGTCTAAAAAACAAAACAAAACAAAACAAAACCCTGTCTCTACTAAAAATACAAAAATTAGTTGGGCGTGGTGGCGGACATCTATAATCCCAGCTACTCGGGAGGCTGAGGCAGGAGAATCGCTTGAACCCCGGGAGGCAGAGGTTGCAGTGGGCCAAGATCACGCCACTGCACTTTAGCCTGGGTAATGAAGCAAGACCTTGTCTCAAAAGAAAGAAAGAAAAAAAAAAGTAAAACTAATTTCAAACCAAAAGTAAAAGTGACTAAAGAAAATGAAGAACAATTAGACTTCATCAAAACTAAAAACTTCTGTGCTTCAAAGGACACCATCACAAAAATGAAAAGACAACTCATAGAACTGGAGAAAATATTTGCAAATTGTATATCTGATCAGGATCTAGTATCTAGGATATATAAACAATTCTTACAACTCAATAATGAAAAACAACCCAATCTTAGGCCGGGCGCGGTGGCTCACACCTGTAATCCCAGAACTTTGGGAGGCCGAGGTGGGTGGATCATGAGGTCAGGAGATCGAGACCATCCTGGCTAACACGGTGAAACCCCGTCTCTACTACAAAATAGAAAAAATTAGCCGGGCGTGGTGGCGGGCGCCTGTAGTCCCAGCTACTCGGGAGGCTGAGGCAGGAGAATGGCATGAATCCGGGAGGCGGAGCTTGCAGTGAGCCGAGATCGCGCCACCGGACTCCAGTCTGGGCGACAGAGCGAGACTCCGTCTCAAAAAAAACAAAACAAAACAAAACAAAAAAACCCAATCTTAAAACATGGGCAAAAGATCTGCGTAGACATTTCTCCAAGGAAGAGAAACAGCCAATAAGCACGTGAAAACATGTTTAATATCATAGGTCATTAGAGAAATGCAAATCAAAAGCACAATGAGATACCACTTCACACCCACTAATACGGTTGGAAGAACACCACATATAGGCGGGGCATGGTGGCTCACGCCTGTAATCCCAGCATTTTGGGAGGCCAAGGTGGGTGCATCACGAGGTCGGTAGATGGAGACCACCCTGGCTAACACGGTGAAACCCCGTCTCTACTAAAAATGCAAAAAATTATCCAGGTGTGGTGGCGGGCACCTGTAGTCCCAGCTACTTGGGAGGCTGAGGCAGGAGAATGGCGTGAACCCAGGAGGCGGAGCTTGCAGTGAGCCGAGATCATGCCACTGCACGCCAGCCTGGGAGACAGAGCAGAACATCACATATAGAACATAACAGATATATAGAATGATATAACGCAAGTGTGGCTGAGGCTGTGGAGATATTGGAACCCCTCATATACTGCTGGTGGAAATGTAAAACGGTGCAGCTGCTTTGGAAAATGACCTGGCAATTCCTCAAAAGGTTAAGCATAGAGTTAACATATATATTTTTTATTTTGAGATGAAGTCTTGCTCTGTCACCCAGGCTGGAATGCAGCAGCACAATCTCAGCTCACTGCAACCTCTGCCTCCCCGGTTCAAGCAATTCTCCTGCCTCGGCCTCCCAAGTAGCTGGGACTACAGGCGATCACCACCACGACCGGCTAATTTTTTTTTTTTTTGAGATGGAGTTTCACTCTTGTTGCCCAGGCTGGAGTGCAATGGCGCGATCTCAACTCACCGCAACCTCTGCCTCCCAGGTTCAAGCGATTCTCCTGCCTCACCCTCCCTAGTAGCTGGGATTACAGGCATGTGCCACCACGCCCGGCTAATTTTGTATTTTTAACATAATTTTTGTATTTTTAGTAGAGATGGGGCTTCACTATCTTGGCCAGGCTGGTCTCAAACTCCTGACCTCAGGTGATCTGCTCCCCTTGGCTTCCCAAAGTGCTGGATTACAGGCGTGAGCCATCACACCCGGCCGAGTTACCATATCTAATCTAATAATTCCATTCCTACGTATATATATAAGAAAAATGAAAACTTATGCCCATACTGAAACTCATACCGACATATTCATGGTAGCTTTATAATAGTTAGAAGGTATAAACAACCCAAGTGCCTACCATGAGTTATTGATGAATGCATGAACAAAATGTGGCATATCCACATCATGGGATATTATTTGGCAATAAAAAGGAATGAAAGCATGGATGAACCCTGACAAAATTATGTTAAGTGAAAGAAACCAGACACAAAAGGTCACACATTGCATGATTCCAGTTATAAAAAATGTCAAAAAAAAAAAAACCAACAACAACAGTCAAATCTATAGAGAGGGAAGGTAGATCAGCTAGTTGCCTTGAGCTACAGGGGAAGGGGTGGGGTTAGAGGGAAACAGAGAGTGCCTGCTAATGGGTACAGGATTTCTTTTGGGGGTGATAAAATGTTCTAAAATGAATGGTGGTAGCCAGGCATGGTGGCTCACACCTGTAATCCCAGCACTTTGGGAGGCTGAGGTGGGCCTCAGGAGTTCCAGACCAGCCTGGCCAACATGGCAAAAACAAACAAACAAAAAAATTAGCTGGTCGTGGTGGTGGGCACCTGTAATCCCAGTTACTTGGGAGGCTGAGGCAGGAGAATGGCTTGAACCTGGGAGGCGGAGGTTGCAGTGAGCTGAGATTGAGCCACTGCACTCCAGCCTGGGCAACACAGCGAGACTCTCTCTCAAAATAAATAAAATAAAATAAAATAAAATAAAATAAAATAAAATAAAATAAAATGAATGGTGGTAATGTTTTCACAACTCTGAATATATTAATACTAAAAACTGCTGAATTGTACATTTTAAAATGGGGTAAATGGATGATATGTGAATTGCATCTCAATAAAGTGGTTATTTACAAAAATAATAAATACAATTAGAAAGACTTTTTCAAATGGCTTGAACGCGAGGTTAGGGAACGTTTGGGATGGCTGTGCACCATTTCCTGCATGGACTCGGAGCTTATTGTAAGACACCAGGCTGGGCACATACATGGCTGTCACCTGTACCCCACGGCCACTCACCCTTGGTGCAGTATGTGACCTCTCCTGCATAGTGGAGGAGTCGGAACTCCATCCAGCCAATCCTCTTTCGGCCCTTTGGACCAGCCAGCTTACGGCTACGAGACAGAAATAGACACGAGTTGAACTTTCTTTTCTTTTCTTTTTTGAGATGGCGTCTTGCTCTGTTGCCCAAGCTGGAGTGCAGTGGCACAATCTTGGCTCACGGCAACCTCCGACCCCCTGGGTTTAAGCGATTCTCCTGCCTCAGCCTCTGGAGTAGCTGAGATTACAGGCAGGTGCCACCACACCCGGCTAATTTTTGTATTTTTAGTAGAGATGGAGTTTCACCATGTTGGTCAGGCTGGTCTCGAACTCCTGACCTCGTGATCTGCCTGCCTCAGCCTACCAAAGTGCTGGGATTACAGGCCTAAGCCACCGTGCCTGGCCCATGAGTTGAACTTTCTACTTCACTGAGACAAAATGGCACCAATAACTGAAGCAAAGAGTGAGAGAGAGACGTCTTCAATCAGTTAGGTCCACATTGAAAGCCACCACACAGGGAGGCTCCCAGGAAGTTTTGTTACTTATTTTCTGGCCATAGACCAAGATTTCTTTAAAATTAGATCCTTTGGCCGGGCATGGTGGCTCACACCTATAATCCTAGTACTTTGGGAGGCTGAGGCAGGAGGATCGTTTAAGGCCAGGAGTTTGAGATTAGTCTGGGCAACACAGCAAGACCCTGTCTTTAAAAAAAAAATACAAAGAATTAGCTGGGAGTGGTAGCATGTGCCTTGTAGTCCCAGCTACTCAGGAGGCCGAGGTGGGAGGATTGCTTGAGCCCAGGAATTTGAGGCTGCAGTGAGCTATAATTATACCACTAGACTCCAGCCTGTGCAACAGAGTGAGACCTTGTCTCAAAAAATAAAAAAATAAAATTAGATCCTTTCTTCCCATAAATGCTGAGAAATAAAAGTATAGAACTGAGCCACAGAAACACATGTATTTGCATAATAAATTAACTTTTGTTTTTCTAGGTGATGTAACAAAGAACAATTTTAAATCTTATATTTTTATAATGTTGAGAGACTAAAATACTCATAAAACATCAGTTTTCAGTTTCTACAGATTCTTGATTTTTTTTTTCTTTCTTTTTTTTTTTTTTTTTGAGATGGAGTCTCACTCTGTCTCCCAGGCGGGAGTGCAGTGGTGTGATCTCGGCTTACTGCAACCTCCACCTCCTGAGTTCAGACGATTCTCCTGCCTCAGCCTCCTGAGTAGCTGGGATTACAGGCGTAAGCCACCACACCTGGCTAATTTTTTGGATTTTTAGTGGAGATGGGGTTTCACCATGTTGGCCAGGCTGGTCTTGAACTCCTGACCTCAGATTATCCACTCGTCTTGGTCTCGCAAACAGCTGGGATTACAGGTGTGAGCCACTGTGTCTGGCCAGATTCTTGATTTTTTAAAATGACTTTTACTTAAATCTGTCATACATATTGACAGCACACATATATTCTAAGCGTACGGCTCAATGAATTTTTGAAAACGATATGCCTGTGCAACCAGCACCCAGATTAAGAAGCAGAGCATTCATTACCAGTCCCTGAGAACCCCCACTTTGAGCCCTTTCTAGTCGCAACCAGACATGTAGCAGCATAAGTGAATTTTTACCCAGTTGTATGCATTGCATTGCAATGGAATTATATAGAATGTAGTCCTTTTTTTTCTCTTTGAGATGGAGTCTTGCTCTGTTGCCCAGGCTGGAGTGCAGTGGCGCAATCTCGGCTCACTGCAACCTCTACCTCCCAGGTTCAAGCGATTCTCCTGCCTCAGCCTCCTGAGTAGCTGGAACTACAGGCGTGTACCACCATGCCTGGCTAATTTTTGTATTTTTAGTAGAGACAGGGTTTCACCATGTTGGTCAGGCTGGTCTTGAACTCTTGACCTCAGGTGATCCAGCTGCCTCGGCCTCTCAAAGTGCTGGGATTATAGGCATGAACCAGCACGCTCGGCCACAGTATGTACTCATTTGTGTAATTTACTTACATCATTGCATGCAGTTATAGATTATTCATTGCACAGTGATATATTATTCCATTTGTGAATGTACCCCAATTTATTTTTCCATTCTTGATTCACTATGCAATTTCATGTACTTATCCTTTGCAATTTCATTTACTTATATCCTTTCAGTATTCTACAACAGGTCTGAGAAAGCCACCACCATTTACTAAGTCTTTACCATGGCCAGAGATTGCACTAGGCAATTTATGGCATCATTTACAAAATTGGATGGTAGGTATGTTAATAACCCCCATCTTGTATAGCAGGGAAAACACAAATGCAGGAGCATTCATTTGGTCTTGGGGCCAGGCATGGTGGCTCATTTCTGTAATCCCAGCACTTTGGGACACTGAGGTGGGCAGATCACTTGAGGTCAGGAGTTCGAGACCAGCCTGGCTAACATGGTGAAAGCCCACCTCTACTAAAAATACAAAAAAATAGCCAGGCGTGATGGCGCACACCTGTAGTCCCAGCTACTTGTGAGGCTGAAGCAGAATCACTTGAACCCGGGAGGTGGAGGTTGCAGTGAGCCGAGATCGCCCTACTACACTCAGCCTGGGCAACAGAGCAAGACTCTGTCTCAAATAATAATAATAACAACAACAACAACAACAACAACAACAAATTAGCCGGGCGTAGTGGCAAGTGCTTGTAATCCCAGCTACTTGGGAGGCTGAGGCAGGAGAATCGTTTAAACCCAGGAGGCGGAGGTTGTAGTGAGCAGAGATTGCACAACTGCACTCCAGCCTGGGCAACAGAGTGAGACTCCATCTCAAACAAAACAAAACAAAACCAAAAAACAAAAAAGAAACAAGCAAACAAACCAGGTCTTAATGACTCCAGCATATGCTCTTAAATTCTCTCCTGCTTACCTCAAAGACTAAGTTAAATGTCTAGTTGATCTTGTGGGATGTGGTACTCTATATCTGATCCGCATGGTGGTTACACAGGCACATACAAGTACAAAAATTTATCAGGTTGTACATTTCAGATCTACACATATCACTGTATTTTATACCTGAATTTTTGAAAAGATTATTTCATGTACATAGACATGTCCAAAATATAATGATCACTGAATAAAGGAAGATATAAAATCTTTTTAAAAAATCATACTTGTGTCTGGGCACGATGGCTCACAGCAGTAATCCCAGCACTTTGGGAGGCCAAGATGGGTGGATCGCTTGAAGCCAGGAGTTCCAGACCAGCCTGGGCAACAGGGTGAAACCCTGTCTTTACAAAAAATATAAAAATTAGCCAGGCATTGTGGTGTATGTTTGTAGTCCTGGCTTCTTGGGAGGCTGAGGTTGGAGGATCACTTGAGCCTGGGAGGTTGAGGCTGCAGTGAGCTGTGATCACGTCACTGCACTCCAGCCTAGGTGACAGACTGAGACCATGTCTCAAAAAAAAATTATAATTCATTTAGGTTTAATTTCTACTAACAAAGGTCTGGCACATCTATGAGTGGTATACATAAAGATATTTTTATGTATGAAGTAGTTGTTCTCTTGAAGAACATTATCCAAATACTAAAGAAAATGGAGACACAATCATCTTCCCCCATGCAAAATCTGGTAAAATAAAGTATGTACGTTTCGAAGTGTGCATGTTTGCCCACTTTCTCTTCCAATTTCTCCAGGAAACTCAAGTCTGTAGCAGGACCAGGCCGAATGCATTCTTCATCCTTCAAAAGAAAAAGAGAAGCCTCAATCCACAGCACCACACTCCATCAATGCCAAGTTTAAATGCTTTCACCAGCTGGAACAGAAAGTACTGGACTAAAAGACTGTCAATTCATGTAAGTGCAGGTGAACATTCTGGGGGGAAGAAGGGCTTAATCCATGTGTTTGGCTTCTAAGATTTGATAAGGGGACCATGGAACCAGAGGGCCTGAATATCCCATGAAAAGGCAACACTCTGACCATCTGACTCAAAGTCTTCCCAAGGATACTCCACACAGCTACTATGACCAACCTCGTTTTCTCTAAACCAGTCATCACTGACCATGATTACCATGTGTACAGACTCTTGTTGTAGAAGAAAAGCCCTCATGGAAAGAAAGGTATAAAACCAGTTAAGTCGAAGTTTTTATATTTCTTAAGTTCATTTTTCTATTTCCTATTTTTCGTCCTCAAGAATGATACCATTTAGTTGGCATCTTAAAAATTACAGGTGTGGTTGGGTGAAGTGGTTCACACCTATAATCCTGGCATTTGGCAGGCCAAGGTGGGAGGATGTCTTGAGCCCAGGAGTTCAAGACCAGCACAGGCACATGGTGAAACCCTGTCTCTACAAAATTTTTAAAATTTAGCCAGGTGTGGTGGTATACCTTTGTAGTCCCAGCTACTCAGGAGGCTGATGTGGGAGGACTGCTTGAGCCCAGGAGTTAGAGACCACCCTGGCTCAACCCTTTTTTTATTTTTATTTTTATTTTTTGAGATGGAGTCTCCCTCTGTCGCCCAGGCTGGAGCGCAGTGGTATGATCTCAGCTCACTGCAACCTCTGCCTCCGGGGTTCAAGCAATTCTCCTGTTTCAGCCTCCCAAGTAGCTGGGACTACAGGCGCATGCCATCATGCCCGGCTAATTTTTGTATTTTTAGTAGAGACAGGGTTACACCATACTGTTCAGGCTGCTTTCTAACTCCTGACCTCAGGTGATCCACCCACCTCGGCCTCCCAAAGTGTTGGAATTACAGGCGTGAGCCACCGTGCCTGGCCTGGCTCAACCCTTTTTAAGCCTGGGAAAAAGTTCTTCCAAGAGTTGTAAGTGCCGGGTGAATAGCTCTAATGCAACATTCATTTTTCTCACCAGAATAGATATGATTCCTTTATGTCTCTCTTCTACCAAATCACAGATGATCTTGTTGTTGAAATATTTAATTGGCTCCCACTAAAATGACAAAGAGGAATGAATTCTCCAAGAAATATTTAGATGAGCATCAAAGTTGGTTTTAAATTGGTTTTCTAAAACATCTTTTTTCAAAATCTAGTTTTTATATTCAACCTTAAACAAATTATATTTTCTGAATATCAAAATAATTTCCCAGGAAATAAGCAGAGAAGGCCTAAAAATTAATCCTCAGTACTAATCAGGAATATCTCCAATGAAATAATACTTCAGTTAAATGTCTTTAGTGGTTGGGCACAGTGGCTCACACCTGTAATCCCAGTACTTTGGGAGGTTGAGGCAGGAAGATCACTTGAGTCCAGGAGTTCGAGACCAGCCTGGGCAACATAGAGAGACCCTGTCTCTACAAAAAGTAAAACAATTAGCCAGGCATGGTGGCATGTGCCTGTGATCCCAGCTACTTAGGAGGCTGAGGCAGGAGGATCACTCGAGCCCAGGAGGTGGAGGTTGCAACCAGTCATGATTGTGCCACTGGACTCCAGCCTGGGCGACAGAGTGAGATCTTGTCTCAAAAAAATAAAAAAAAAATTAATTAAATTAAAAAAAGAAGTCTTTAGCTAGATGAAGAAATCAGATGAGGAGAAAACATCAAAATGTTTACCTCTATGCCTTCCATTTCATATTCTGCCTGTTCTGCTTTTAGAGTCCTCTCAATTAACAGTTGCTGGAGTTTCTCATTGCAGTAATTTATACAGAACTGTTCAAAACTAGAGATACAAAAGATTTAAGTAACTAAAGTTATATGAAGAGAACAATTTTTTTAAACAAATTATATTCTTTTTAGGCATACTTTTTAATAAAGAAAAAGCAAAGTCCTCATTAATAAAATAATTTACTAAATAGATCATAAGAGTCAAGTGAAAATATATTTGCATTTTTATGGTTAGTCCACATCTAGGATGGTCTGTGAGTTAGAAACTATGTAAATCTAGAGACTTTCTGGGGACAGGGAAATCAATCTAGTAACATTAGCGAAAGATTTAAATCTCGACTGAAATCTTAAAAAAGGGCAAAAGACAGATAGGTAGGTAATGACAAAACATACCCATTCTTGTCAAAGACTTCAAACCCATAGATGTCCAGTAATCCAATTACAGTTTTCCTGGTGAAATCCTGGTCAAAATAACACACCCCATTCATAGTTAGGTCTTTTCCTTTGTGCTACTCAAAACTGTTGCTGCTCCCCTAAACTGGGACTTGGCGCTAAAGCTCATATGTCCTCTGTCTCCAACAATGCGGAAAATCTTTGGGTGGAAGTAATTTCCCCAGCCTGCTGCTCCTGCCTGCTCAGATCCCACTGCAGCTTCCATAGCCATCACCTGTGTAGTCAGACCTTCCCCTTCTGATTCACTTCTTTGTTCAGGTGTCCTCAGCCTCCCAAGCCCATGTACAATCAAAAAAAAAAAAAAAAAAAAAAAAAAAAGAAGAAGAAGAAGAAGAAGAAAAAGAAGAAGGAGAAGAAGAAGGAGAAGGAGATGGAGAAAAGGACCTATAGACAGACAAGAAGATGCCTATCCAAGTAAGAGGACCAAGTACCCTCAGGCCAGGGTGGGTATTTAAAGATGATGTATTTATTTCAGGCCAGGCGTGGTGGCTCACGCCTGCAATCCCAGCACTTTGGGAGGCTGAGGCAGGCGGATCACTTGTGGCCAGGAGTTTGAGACCAGCCTGGCCAACATGGCGAAACCCCATTTCTACTAAAAAATTACAAAAATTAGCCAGGCATGGTGGCATGCACCTGTAATCCCACTACTTGGGAGTTTGAGGCACAAGAATCGCTTGAACCCCAGAGGTGGAGGCTGCAGTGAGCCAAGATTGTGCCACTGCACTTCAGCCTGAACGACAAAGTGGGACTCCGTCTCAAAAAAAAATAAAAAAGAGATAATGTATTTATTTAGTTTTAAAGGGACACAATTAAATACTCTGTATGAGTGTCCTAAGTCACTGCCTCCAAAATCATCTTTTGTGTCCTACCTCCATGAATTTTGTCACATCCACATATCCCCTCCCCATCCATGTATCATTTCTTAATTTTTAGCTTGGATTAAATCCCTTTTTTATTTAAATAATTCCACTTGAAAAGGAAACGTGACTGAAGCGTGAGTTTCAAGGGCTATATTTTTTCGTAAATATGTTAAAATATGCTTCTGTTGAAATTTTTAAAATGTCAGGTGAATATATTACTGTTGAAATTTAAAGATTTGTGGTGGTTCATGCCTGTAATCCCAGCACTTAGGAAGGCAGCAGTGGGAAGATGGCTTGGGCCTGGGAGTTTGAGACCAGCCTGGACAACATAGCAAGACCTCATCTCTACAAAATTTTTTTTTAAAATTAGCAGGGCATGGTGGTATGCAACTGTAGTTCCAGCTATTTGGGAGGCTGAGGTAGGAGAATTGCTTAAGCCCAGAAGCTGGAAGTTGCAAGTTATGATTGCACCACTGCACCCCAGCCTGAGTGACAGAGCAAGATCTTGTCTCTAAAAATAAAAATAAAAAATAAAAAGTTTCTGTGTACACTTGAAGCTATCTGGCATACCACAAGCACTATGCACAGCACGCTTTGGAACACATTGTATAAGTCATTCGGCATGCACCCATACTGTATGCTAGACATGGGAAATGTGAATAGGGAAAGACACCATCTCTGCCCATGAGGCGCCCACAGTTCATTCTCCCTCCCAAATTCTTTAAAGAAACGATGATTATAAAACATCACCACGTGAGCAAGAGCAAGGGATCCAAAATGCGTTGACCAACCTTGTTAACTAAGGAGGAATTGATTTTGTTGACCAGCCAAGTAAACGTTCGTCCATAAACAGCCTTTGCCATTGCATCTCTAGCGTAGACAGAGAGTTCTAGTGTCAACGGGCAGATCACCTGAAAAGAATGACAAGGTGCATCATTATAGGTGGAAAAAAGAAGCCCCCAGAGTGTTCAAAGAAGTCTTTTTTCTTAAAAAAAAAATAAAATAATGAGACAGGGTCTCGCTCTGCTGCCCAGCCTGGAATGCAGTAGCTGGGACTACAGGTGCCCACCACCATGCCTCGCTTTTTTTTTTTTTTTTTTTTTTGTAGAAATGTGGTCTAGCCATGTTGCCCAGGCTGGTCTTGAACTCCTGGGCTCAAGGAATCCTCCCACTGCAGCCTCCTAAAGTGATTACAGGTATAAGCCACCACACACAGTCTTGAACTAGTGTTTAATGATGACTGGCAAAGGATACATGCTGGGAAGATGCTACTCTTGTCTTTGGTTCATATGATGGCTCTTTCTTGAGTGCCCATGTGTGCCAGGCACTGTGCTGGGCTGCCGAGATACAGCTGTAACCCAGACACACAGTCCTGACCTTCATGGGCACACAGTTCATTTGAGGGTAGGGAGGGATGGAGAGACATTCAAAGAATCACAGTCATGTTGAAAGGGCTACAAGAGATACATAGGGTGCTTTGACGTAGAGGTGGGAGGATCAGAGAAGGCTCCTTGAGGAAGTGACCCCCAGGAAATGAAGGATGAAGAGGAGTTAACTAGATAAAGCACCGGGAACAGTGTTCCAGCAGAAGGAATAGCATGTGCAAAGACTCCTGTGGAGGGAAGACATAGACAGTATGAGGTGTGGATTGCTAGCATTGGTGTGGTGGTGGTGATGGTGATGGGGGAAGATGAGGCAGGACACTCCACAGGAGCTGGACCACGCAGGGCCTGGTGAGCTAGGATCAAAGGTTTGGCCTCCCCTGAGGCCACCACCCTGCTGTTATCGAGGGAGGCAGCAGCAGCAGGGAGGGCTGGCACATTTCCACCTATAGCCATTTTTACCTCCTCAGTTTTGGCTTCAATTTTTCTGTGGGTGAGAGCTTCCAGAAGGACTGATGGGTGGACCCCCAGGAGCTGCATGTAAAAGAAATCCAGAATGCTATTCAGTGACGCAGTTTTACTTGCTTTTTATTATTTTTTTAGAGACAAGGTATGGCTCTGTTACCCAGGTGGGAATGTGGTGGCACAATCATAGCTCATTGTAACTTTTTTTCAGACAAGGTCTCACTCTGTCATCCAGGCTGGAGTGCAGTGGCACAATCTCAGCTCACTGCAACCTCCACCTCCCGGGCTGAAGTGATCCTCCTACCTTAGCCTCCTGAGTAGCTGGGACTACAGGTGTGTGCCACCATTCATAGCTAATTTTTTTTTTTTTTTTTTTTTTTTTTTTTTTTTAAGAGATAGGGTCTCACTATGTTGCCCAGGCTGGAGTGCAGTGGCATGATCATGGCTCACTGCAGCCTTGAATTTCTGGCCTCAAGCGATCCTCCTGCCTTGGCCTCCCAAAGCACTGGGATCACAGGCATGAGCCATTGCGCCCGGCCTACTCACTAACTTATAAAGAGTTCATAGAGTATCCAGGCCCAGGGTTATCTGCCCAGACTGATCATTGTGCGTTATTACAAAACAGGCCACAATAGCTCCCTCAACCAACTGGCTTTTACTCCTGCCCTCTCCTTCAAACCCCCACTCTTTAAACCTCCTAACCAATATCAGCCAAAACAGCACGGCACCAGATATTTGGGCCTAACTGTGGGCACCCAGCTACCTCGCTCTTCTCTCCCACCCATCCCCCTCCTTCTGTCCTCTCCAAAAGAGGAGCATCACCTTGGCTATCCACTTGATCTCATGGGTGTCTGGGATAGTGGCACAGCCTTGGTCGTCTTCTTCAAAACCAATGTTCCCCAGGTGTAAGACACTGGCAATAATTCCAAAGAGATTCTAGGAACATGGGAAGTGTTCAGAGACAGGAGATCAGGACAGGGAAAGAGAACGGTGGCCGCCTAATTGATACATGTCATTAGTGGAGACACCTGAAGGAAAAATGCCCCCGTCCCAATTCCACACCTGAGCCCACAGAACCAAGCCCTCCTGCTTCCTCAGAAATCAGCCCTGTTATTCACTTCAGGTGCTAAGGGAAGAGGGAAACAGCCTCATTCAGTGTCCAGCAGGAAACACTTTATTTTCATATAACAACAACAAATACATAAATGGATTTTTCATAAAATAAAACACTTTTATAAAATATTTTATGGCCGGGCGCGGTGGCTCACGCCTGTAATCCCAGCACTTTGGGAGGCCGAGGTGGGCAGATCACCCGAAGTCAAGAGATCGAGACCATCTGGCCAACATGGTGAAACCCCATCTCTACTAAAAACACAAAAATTAGCTGGGCACGGTGGCATGTGCCTGTAGTCCCAGCTACTTGGGAGACTGAGGCAGTAGAATTGCTTGAACCCGGGAGGCGGAGGTTGCAGTGAGCCAAGATAGCGCCATTGTACTCCTGCCTGGCGACAGAGCAAGACTCTGTCTCAAAAGAGGAAAAAATAATTTATAAAATACTTTCTAAAATAAACCTCACTAATGAACGCACTTAATTTTCAAATAACATTATCTATCTATCTATCCATCCATCTATCTTTTTTTTTAAGAGACAGGGTCTTGCTCTGTCACCCAGGCTGGAGTGCAATGGTGCCATCATAGCTCACTACAGCCTCAACCTCCTGGGCTCAAGCGATCCTCCCGCATCAGCCTCCTGAGTGGCTGGGACTACAGGCATGCACCACCATGCCTAGCTAATTTTTAAAATTTTTTTGTAGAGGCAGGGTCTCACTATGTTCCCCAGGCTAGTCTCAAACTGCTAGCCTCAAGTGATTTCTCCACCTCAGCCTCCCAAAGCATCAGGATTACAGGTGTGAGCCACTGCACCTGGCTTCAAATACAGCTGTTTTTAAATTACATTCTGGCCCTTGAAAGACTGATAGTTTAACAATCAAAATGAAAAAAAAAAAAAAGACAAAAAGATGTAAAAACAAATTGTTTATAAATTCTACAATTTGTTCTAGTTTGTACCAAAACAGAAGCCTCAATAAATGAGAATCTTGTAATTCTATGGCACCTAAATTGTTGAGACTGGACTTACTTTACAGGAGAAAAAAAACTGACTCTTCCTCCTTGCACACAATATTAGGAAAACTTAGAGTTGCCAGATAAAAGAACCCACAGTTAATATTTGAATTTCAAACTTACATTAATTTTTTAGTATAAGTTTGCCCACATGCAATAATTGGAACATGATTATACTAAAAAATTCTTCACTGTTTATCTGAAATTCATATGTAACTGGGCATCCTGTATTTTTGCTTTTGGTTTTGTTTTTTTGAGACGCAGTCTCGCTCTGTCACCCAGGCTGGAGTGCAGTGGCACAATCTCGGCTCATTGCAACCTCCATCTCCCGGATTCAAGCGATTCTCCTGCCTCCGTCTCCGGAGTAGCTGGGATTACAGGTGCCTGCCACCGCGCCTGGTTAATTTTTGTACTTTTTTTTAGTACAGACAGGGTTTCACCATGTTGGCCAGGCTGGTCTTAAACTCCTGACCTCAAGTGATCCGCCCGCCTTGTCCTCCCAAAATGCTGGAATTACAGGTGTGCGCCACCACACCCAGCTGCATCCTGTATTTTTATTTGTTGAATTTGGCCACTGTATTCTGCAAACACCAAGAAATTAGGAATGTTTCCTCAGTCCCAGGGGGAACTATCAGTTCTGCTGCAAAAGCACGTACCTCGAGGTCAGCTTCAGTAAAATCAATGACAGAAAAGGCGTTGGAAACAGTTTTCCAGTCATTCTTGTCACTAATGGATGACTCTTTGGCACAATGACCCTGTTGACAAAAAGTTTGAGTCACTTAATGTCATTTTTATAGGGGCAATTAAGCATGTCTATTCCTCTCTGAAGATGCAAAAGCTAGTCCTATATAATGTACTGAATTGCGAATCAAAAATAGGTTTTACTCTAATTGTCTAGCATGTAATGATCTGACAACTGTTGCTTTTTTTCAAATTTATTTGGAATTTTGTTTAAAAATCTCTGTTCTGGGAAAACATTCCAAGTTACATGTAAGTGGTGTATCTTTTTGTATGTGTTTTTAAACATAGTTTTCTTATCATTTTTGCTAAATAAATTGAAGCTGTTTGTCTCAAGAAATATCTGCTGAAATATGCAGGAATATTAAAGTGCTTAAAATCAGAAACTCCTGACTCACTTAGAGATTGCCAACAAAAATTTCACTGCAGGACTAGATGAAAGAAGCCTTTCCTGCAAGGAAATAAAAGGCTAGCATTTAGAGAAACAGAGGTTTTGTGAAAATGATCACAAGCAGAGATTTTCCCCATGAACTCCAGAAGTTGTCTTTTAAATAACAGACTGATTTAAAGAGAAAACATTCTAGACAAATGTTTTGTATTATTTTGCTTTTGTGGTACAGGGTGTTCCTAGTTTCCTAATTATCTGAAGATCTGTTTTCTTAAAAGATTTCTTCATTGCATGGGGGAAATCAGATGTGTCATACCATGAAAATATTTCCTAGTGAAGTGACCGATATAAAAATTTTTTTTTACATATGTAACTAACCTGCACGTTGTGCACATGTACCCTAAAACTTAAAGTGGCCGATATAAAATTTGCAGCCTCACAAACCTTCCCGCACAACCAGCAACATCTGCTCCTGTCCCTGAAGGGATGGGTTTATGCAAATCAGTCCCTCTCCAAAACCTGTTGGTTTGAAAGCAGTGCGAATATACTGCAGAGTGAAGCCATAAAGTTTACCAAAGTTATGAGAGATCATGAAATTGGTTTTAAAATAATAGTGGCAAATTGCTAGACCCATTTCCAAAGCCCCTGATGTATAAAGATCTAGTTGAATTAATGTGGCCATAAAAAAATCTACAGGAATAAAGACACGATATATTCTAAAAGAGAAGGATTTATCAAAGGGTTAGAGAAGCCCTTGGGAAAATGGATGAGGCCTCAAATATTTTTACAAATTGACCCTTTCTGGTCATGCTATGGGAATACAATCATGATGCGACCATACAGCTTTGTTGGGAAAATTAAGCCCTCCAAAAAGAAAAAAACATCACATTTGATTTATTCTTTGTTCTAGTAATTAGTTGAGTTTGCTTAGTATAAAATTAGATTATGAGATTCTTTCTTTTCACTATTTACCTTCATTTTTCTTATTTCTATTTTTAAAATACATTTAGAGATGGGGTCTTGCTACATTGCCCAGGCCGGTCTTAAATTCCTGGACTCAAGCGATCCTCCTGCCTTGGCCTCCCAAAGTGTTGGGATACAGGTGTGAGCCACCGTGCCCCAGCCTGCCTTCATTTTTCAAGGTGAACTTTTGTCAAGGCTTCTTTTCTTCCATGATTTCTAGAAAGTGTTGATCCTCATTTTATGAGATTCATTTTATAAGACCTCATTTTCTCTCTTAAATGATGCCTTCATCTACATTCTACAAGGTGGCCTCCATTCAAAGCCAGGCCAAGTGAGAAGAGAAAAATAAAAAAAATGTTGGGACTAAAAAGGTGTTAATGACATCAAATGCTGAGACGTGCCTTACAATCTGGGCATTGTAGGACGCTAGTGCAGGCTGCAGAAAAACAAATATTGCAGGGTTATATTCTGACAGTCAATTTTATAACACTAGACTCTAGGCTTGTTTATAGGAATAGCTTGAACTATTTCTGTAAGGTGGTGTGTTCATTTGGCAGCAAACATTTGTCAAGGTGGAAGGCAGGAATGCGGGAAAAGATCTTTTCAAAAGTAGTTCACAGTGGCTCGTGCCTGTAAACTCAGCACTTTGGGAGGCTGAGGCAGGCGGATCTCTCTAGCTCAGGAGTTTGAGACCAGCCTGGACAACATGGAGAAACACTGTCTCTACAAAAACTACAAAAATTAGCGAGGCATGGTACCTCGCGCCTGTAGTCCTAGCTACTTGGGAGGCTGAGATGGGAGGATCACTTGAGCCCAGGAGGTCAAGGCTGCAATGAGCCATTATTATGCTACTGCACTCCAGCCTGGAGGACAGAGTGAGAACCTGTCCCAAAAAAAGAAAAAAAAAAAGGTAGTTTGAAAGCAGAATGAGATAGCATAGGTTTGGGGCATAGTTGGACAGTGAGTTTCTATCACATCCAGATCAGCGCTCCTCACTTTGGCTGTACGCTAAATCACCAGGAGGACATTTAAAATAATTCTGATGCCCAGGTCCTACCCAGACCAATGAAATCTGAATCTCTGGAGGGTATGGCCCAGGCATTTGTGTTTTTAAAGGGCTCTTCAGGTGATTCTAGTTTCAGCCAGGGATGAGAACCACTTACCTAGACATTGGTTACTTTACCAAGGTGATATAGCTGCCAGGCATAAGAGGAGATGGATTAGATTGCTTGTGATATATATATGGAGAAATCAGCCAATAGGACACATAGCAGGATGGTAATAGAATGTCTCAAACATCCTACAGCAGCACGTAGAAACATCTCTGATCCCCTGCTCCAAAGAGTCACCAAAGCCAGGTGCTGGTCCTTCCCACCTGTGAGAGGTATTTATACAGCTGGGGGTCTCGCTCGAGTCCCAGGTAAGACAGGCGCTCCTCTTCGCCACCTGCCAGCAGCTGGTAGAAGATGTGGAAATTCCGCTCGCCTTCGTTTTGGTAGACAACTCGGGACTTCTCTATCAAGTAACTGATGATATGCCCACCTACGGGAATGCCCTTCAAAACAGAACAAAAATTGCAGCAGTGACAACAATCAAACCACTCTCTTCCTGGCATCTCCTGATGGCCCGAAGTTCTAAGTTTGAATGAAGTCTGATCTGATCAATCTTCTTTCTTTTTTTTGGACATATCAATCTTCTGTCATTAGTATTTCCTGGGTTCTGTTTACAAAAATTTTTGCTTACCCCAAGAAACTATCATGAAGATAGTTTCTATGTCTTTTTCTAGAAGCATGATTGTTTAGGATAATGATCCCTCACTATTTAATTTTTGTATATGCAGAGGGGTAGTGGTCAAAGGTCTTTTTATTCATGTTGATATCCAGTTGATCTGTGCCATTTATTGGAAAGATGATCTTTTCTCTACTGAATCATAGTGATGGTTTCGTTGTAAATCAGCTGACTGTACATGTGAACTCTATCCTTTCTGGACTTTATTCTGATCCATTGTCTTCTTTATCTATCCTTGTGTCAATATCACACTGTCTTAATTAATATTTTCAATAATATATCCAATAAAGGATTTTTATTCCAGAATATATAAAGATTCTTGCAAATCAATAGGAAAGAATTGACAACCCAATTAAAAACGGGCAAAAGACTTGAATGAAAAAGAAAGCCTTTAAGTGGCCAAGAAGCAAAATGTCATTCATCACCAGGGAGATACAAACTTAAATCACAGTGAAAAACCACTATATCCCACCAGAATTTCTCAAAAGGATGAAGAATATAAATGTTGGCAAGGGTATGGAGCAACCGGAACCATCATTAATTATCCTAACACTGCTTTGCTGGTAAGAACCCCACAATTCCACTTCTTTAATCCAATGTAAATCTACTAAAGGGCATGTGCAAGGATGTTCAAAGTGCTATATGTCACGGTCCTAAATTGCAAACAGCCCAAATGTCCATCAAAAGTAGAACAGATAAGTTGTGACATAGTCATATAATCAAAAAGTGAACAACTGCTACATGCAAGGACATGGATGAATCTGACAGATACGTTGATTGAAAGAAGCCAGGCACAAAATAGAACATACTGTGTAATTTCATTCATATGCACTTCAATGACCAGTGAAATGAACCTGTGATCACAGAGGTCAGAACAGTGGGCAGTGGGAAGGGGGAGTGTGTTGGGGAAGGGCAGGAAAAGCTTTTGGATTTTAGAATTTTTAAGAGATAGGGTCTTGCTTTGTTGCCCAGGCTGGAATGCTGTGGCCTGATCATGGCTCACTATAACCTCAAATGCCTGGGCTCAAGCAATTCTCCCACCTCAGCCTCCCAAGTAACTGGGACTATAGGCATGCACCACTGCGCCTTACTATTTTGTTTTTGTTTTTTGTAAAGACGGGGGTCTCACTATGTTGCCCAGGCTGGTCTTGAACTCCTAGACTCAAGCAATCCTCTCACCTCGACCTCCCAAAGTGCTGGGATTACAGGTGTGAGTCACCATGCCTGGCCTTCAGATGCTAGCATTTTTTTTTTTTTTTTTTTTTTTTGAGACAGAGTCTCACTCTCTTGCTCAGGCTGGAGTGCAGTGGCACAATCTGGGCTCACTGCAACCTCTGCCTCCCAAGTTCAAGTGTTTCTCATGCCTCAGCCTCCTGAGTAGCTGGGACTACAGGTGTGCGCCACCACACTCGGCTAATTTTCATATTTTTATTAGAGACAGGGTTTCACCATGTTGGCCAGGCTGGTCTCGAACTCCTGACCTCGGGTGATCTGCCCACCTCGGCCTCCCAAAGTGCTGGGATTACAGGTGCGAGCCACCAGGCCTGGCCTGGATGCTAGAAATTTTTATGTCTTGATCTGGGTGGTGGTTACAGAGGTGGACACATACGTAGAAATTCACTGGGCTATCCTCATGTTTTACGGCCTTTTCAGTATATGTGTTGAAGTTTCAAAAAAATTTTCAAATATGCATAGCTATTAAATTTCTTTCCAAATCCACTCCACCAGAGGCCCACATCCCAGCCTCTGGGAAATCCTTTAGCCAGTTTGTCCTGAACATTGAGCTCCGTGCTCATACAGCTGCTGCTCCCCCATGTGTCATTTTACCGCTTGGAATTATGAGCCCTTGAGAATTCTGCCTTCCTTTCCTGCTTGCCTTAGCCCCACTTCTGTGTCTAACACAGCTACGCTCATTCACTTACGCATTGTCCATGGCTGCTTTCATGCTACAAGACTGGACTTGGGTCATTGCGACTGTATGGCTGAATGGCTCACAAAGCCTAAAATACTTACTATCTGGCTGTATCCGAAAAAGAGTGCTGGCCCCTGCCAGGTAAGCAGGCATGCCTAAACAATATATTGTTTACTTGTGTCTTTTTTTTTTTTTTTTTTTTTTTTGAGAGGAAGTTTCGCTCTTGTTGCCCGGGCTGGAGTGCAGTGGTGCCAACTGCAACCTCCACCTCCCAGGTTCAAGCAATTCTCCTGCCTCAGCCTTCCGAGTAGCTGGGATTACAGTCGCACACCACCATGCATGGCTAATTTTTTGTATTTTTTTTTTTAGAGATGGGGTTTCACAATGTTGACCAGGCTGGTCTTGAACTCCTGACCTCAGGTAATCCACCCACCTTGGCCTCTCAAATTGCTGGGATTACAGGCATGAGCCACTGCATCCGGCCCTTGTGATTTGTTTTTAAGCTTAATGGAAAAAATGATATCATGCTGGCATACAGTATGTTCCCAAGACCCATCCACATGAGGTGTAGCTGTGGTTCATTTGCTCTCTGCAGTGTAATGCCTGTTGGTGTGAACACACCACAGTGTAGTCGTTCTCCTGTCGATGGACATTTCAGTTCTCCCCAGATGTGTTGGTGCTGTTCAGTCCGTTTACTTGCTCATGATGAGCAGTGCTCTTATGGACATGCTTACGCATCTGTAGCGATATCTCTGGGAGCGGAATGGTTGCACCTTACATTATGTTTTTTCAGCTTCTTAAGATAGCATCATATCTCTGGTACAACCCATTATTTTCCAATAATTTTCCAATATTTTACACCCCACCAGCAATGTGTAAGAATTCCTTATGATCCATATCTTCATCAACACCTGGTATAGATCAGACTTTTTAGTTTTTGCCCATCCAGATGGTATAAAATGTTATCTCATTGTGGTCTTAATTTGCATTTCCTAAAACCAGCACTAACCCTGGATATTTTTTTAAATAGCTTGAGCCAAAAAATGCCGTTCTCCCCTTAAGGGGCCTTGGCTTGGGTTCCGTCACTGGCAAAATAAGGGGTCCCCATGAACCAGTAATAGGAGCTTCAGTGTACCTGAAAATCAAATTGTATATCCATGTATTTCCCAAATCTGCTGGAGTTGTCATTCCGGAGCGTTCTGGCATTTCCAAAAGCCTTGGAATACAAAGTGTCATTCACTGTCATTTAAGCTCACCATGCGTATCAAATTCCTGACCCCAAATAATACACTTATTACAAAAATGGAGGAGAGAGAGCGGAAGGAGCCAGGGAGGAAAGGCATGCTTTATCTTCTAAGAAGGAATCGCTAACTACAGAGAATTTAATGCCAAACACTAGATCTGGACCCGGGGAGAAAAGGGGAACAATATCTTCTTCCTAGAATCCAATTAGGAATATATTGGAAATGGTCTCAGGAGGGGTACATAGAACCCTAGCCCCATGCTGTTCTAGAAGGTACAGTGGACAGCCCCCATCACCAGACCCCTTTTTATACCACCGTTGCTCTGCTCAAAGGGTCCACTGGGAAAATTCCTTCAACTATAAACATCTTCATTTATAGAAAGGGCCACAAAAACACAGGAGAAAATGACTTGTTCAGCAAGTCAGTGAATTGCAATAGTGGAAGTAATCATAACCAAAATAATTTTAACTCAATAATAAGAAAACTATTAATAAATAATACATTATTTTTGGTGCTTCCTAATTCTGCTGTGTGTTTTTTGTGCATCTGTTTCACTTAAGCCTCAAAACTTCTTAGGCTGGGTGTGGTGGCTCACGCCTGTAATTACAGCACTTTGGGAGGCTGATGCAGGGAAGGTCACCTGAGGTCAGGAGTTCCAGACTAGCCTGGCCAACATGGCGAAACCCCGTCTCTACTAAAAATGCAAAAATTAGCTGGGAATGATGGTACGTGCCTATAGTGCCAGCTACTTGGGAAGCTGAAGCAGGAGAATTGCTTAAACTCAGGAGGCGGAGGTTTCTGTGAGCCGAGATTGTGCCACTGTACTCCAGGCCTGGGTGACGGAGAGAGACTCCGTCTCAAAAAAAAAAAAAAAAAAAAAAAAAAAAAACGAAACCAAAACAAAAACCAAATGTCTTAAAAGGTAGGTACTATAAGCAGACCCATTCAACAAATGGGGAAATGGGCTTAGTTCCAGGTCACACCCTTAACTGTGACACTATCTGTGTGACCTCTTTTCTTAACAGTGACCTGCCCATTTTGACTGACCTGCCCAGACAGGATTTGTCTCACTTAGTGACCTCCCTGGAACTCCCTTCGATTGGTCCCCAGAGATCGCTTACCTCCAGCACTGGGTTGGAGAACAGCAGTCTGTCACGGGCTATTTGTAGTGACTGGGTCATTGGGCAGGTCACTGCAAAATACTCGAGAATTTTCTTGGAGGCCTCTGTTTTCCCTGCCCCACTCTCTCCAGAAATGAGGATGAAATGGTTATTTAGTTCAGCACACATCATTCGGTAAGCGTTGTCGGCTATAGCGTAGCTGGAGGAGGAGTGAGACGGAAACAAATTCGTTTTAATGGTACTTCCCTTGACTCTGACACCCACCAAAGAAGAAAAATGAGGTGCTCCATCTCCAGGAAGCCACATCCAGACTGTGGTACAAGGACAATGAGCTCAAACACATATCAAACCCTTTCCATAGGCGGGGCACAGTGGCTCATGCTTGTAATCCCAGCACTCTGGGAAGCTGAGGCGGGTGGATCACTTGAGGTCAGGAGTTCGAGACTAGCCTGGCCAACATGATGAAATCCCTTCTGTACTAAAAAAAGATACAAAAATTAGCCAGGTATGGTGGTGCATGCTTGTAATCCCAGCTACTCGGGAGGCTGAGGCAGGAGAATTGCTTGAACCCGGGAGGCAGAAGTTGCAGTGAGCCGAGATTATGCCATTGCACTCCAGGCTGGGCAACACAGCAAGACTCTGTCTCAAAAACAACAACAACAACAACATCAACAACAACAAAACAAACCAACAAAAAACAAAACAAAAAAACCCAAACCCGAAAAACAAAAAAACAAAAAATCCTCTACCACGACCCACTGACTAATCAAATATAGAGTGTACTAGATATCAAAACTCAAATAGTAGAAGAGCTAAAAGGAAGAATTTGAGAATTTTTTTTTTTTTTTGAGATGGAGTCTCGCTCTGTCGCCCAGGCCAGAGTGCAGTAGCACGATCTGAGCTCATTGCAACCTCTGCCTCCCAAGTTCAAGCGATTCTCATGCCACGGTCTCCCGAGTAGCTGGGATTATAAGTGCAGCACTACCACGCCTGGCTAATTTTTTTATTTTTAGTAGAGACGGGGTTTCACCATGTTGATCAGGCTGGTCTGGAACTCCTGACCTCGTGATCCACCTGCCTCAGCCTCCCAAAGTGCTGGGATTACAGGTGTGAGCCACCGCGCCTGGCCTGAAAATATTTTTTAAAGTTCACCAAATTTATGTTTTTAATCCATCAACATGTTTTATAAGAATAAGCCAGCTACTAAGTTACATCTCCAAGAGACGTTCTATTAACTCTAGATGAAAATAACAATCTTGTCTAAATACTAAATAATTCAATTCAATAAATAGAGTAAGATCTCATGTATTTTTTCCCTCAAAACCTAGAATACTAAAAATGGAGTGGCAGGAAACCAAAGAGATTAACAAACTTCAGTGATATCTTTAGGACAAGAGGTAAAACTATGAGAAGTGCTTTATCTTCAAGATCAGACACCAAAGCATGAAGGTATCCCAGGAATATAACCTGAATACGAGGCAGAGTTCCAAAGCCATTTCGGCTTTTAATACATGGTGGTGGCTGGGCATGGTGGCTCACACCCTGTAATCCCAGCACTTTCGGAGGCTGAGGCAGGCAGATCGCTTGAGCCCCAGGAGTTCGAGACCAGCATGGGCAACACACTGAGACCCTGTCTCTATAAAAATTACAAAAATTAGCCAGGGTGGTGGTGTGTACCTGTAGTCCTGGCTACTTAGGAGGCTGAGGTTGGAGGATCACCTGAGCTCTGGGAGGTGGAGGCTGCAGTGATCCATTACTGTGTCACTGCTCTCCAGTCTGGGTGACAAAGCGAGACCCTGTCTCAACATATATATGGTGGTGATGCAGAAAGGCTTATAAGTGACTTAGAAAGTGGAATAGCTGAGTCACCAAGACAACAGAGGCAGAATCTAAATATTAGCCTAGAAGTCAAGAGGGAGAAAAACTAGAAAATTCAGCAAAGCCTGGGCAAGAAAAAATTGCTCAAGTTTCCTTTTTTTTTTTTGGTAGTCATTGTTTTGAATGTTAAATAACTATTAGAACATTTGGCCAATCAGGCATAGTGACAAACAAATGGCATTATTTAGCAGAAAATATGGGTTATATGTTATTTTCAAATACAAGGGAAATTATTTAAAATGGTAAGGTTTTAAGGCCTAAAAACGTACTCAAGTTTGTGAAAACTGATATCAAGGTGGTTATATTTTCTAGCTTCTGTGAAATGGCTCTAGAAACTCTGAATTAATGTGTAACTAACCAGTAATCTCTAACTACATGCAAATTTTTATTTCAGTCCCTTTTAATTAACTTCTGAATTAAATGAGAAATCTAAACAGATTGTTTTTACAGAGTCAGTTACATGTTAAGAAGGAAACATGGTGTTTGGAGACAAGAGATCTGAGTTCAGGTGAATAATTCTACCCTGTCAGCTTATAGTATTACATAAAAACAAATTCTGGCCATACTGCAGGCGAGTATGTATTTTCAAAAACTTGCATAAAACAGAAAATGTTATGTACTAAAAATATAATCACCATCTACAAATTATTATTACCATAGGTTATACATAGGGGAGAGGAATGAAGAAATTTGCACCTCTTAAGCTTCCACAGCCCTGGGAAGTTTCTACCAACGAGCAGTCCTCTTAGCCGCTATGACACTCAGGCACCAGTAGATGGCACTATAGCAACCCTCTTCCCGGAGAAGACATCTCTCCAGCCACACTTAAATTTCTCAGCAGTTACACACAGGTTGCACCTCTTTTCATATTTAAGCTGAGATTCCATAAAGACCCTCTAAAGTTTTCTACTACTTTGGAATACTTACTTCACAAGAAGGCAAGGGCTTAAATGAGGTACAGAACCTAATAAACATGCATCAAGGATTTAGATGGATGGATGGATGGATGTATCGATGGATAGGTAGGTGGATGGATAGGTAAATGGATGGATGGATAGGCGGATGGATGGATATGTGGATGGATGGATAGATAGGTGGATGGATAGGTGGATGAATGGATGGGTGGGCGGATGGATGGATGGATGGATGGATGGATGGATGGATGAATGGATGGACAGATGCGTGGTGAGAAGGAAGGAGAGAGAGGAAGGGGAAAAAGAAAAATCCTCCTAGTGATGATCCTGTGGATGCTACTTACACATGTGGTGGCAGTTCAAAGAAATTGACCCCTTGATAAAGTTCCATCTGGCTCACAGTGTAGATTCCGAGCTCCTGGTATGGATTCACAGACACAAGGAGGGTGCCAATATATGTCTAGAGAAATGGACCAAAGCACAAGTGAGGAATTCTGGGGTGCAAAAGACTGTCACACATGATGATCCCCATGTGTTCATTCCACATGGAGGATTTAAAATGATAAATCAGGCGGGGTCTCTGCTGGGAGCTTACATGGCAGGTGTATGAGGGAGACAGCAGACAAACAGCTGAGGAATGAAGACAGCTGCAGGAAGAGATCAGTGTTAAGAAAGGTGTACATGGCCGGGCGCGGTGGATCATGCCTGTAATCCCAGCACTTTGGGAGGCCGAGGCGGGTGGATCACAGGTCAGGAGATCGAGACCATCCTGGCTAACATGGTAAAACCCCATCTCTACTAAAAATACAAAAAATTAGCCAGGTGTGATGGTGCATGCCTGTAGTCCCAGTTACTCGGGAGGCGGAGGCAGGAGAATCTCTTGAACCCAGGAGGCGGAGGTTGCAGTGAGCCGAGATCAGCCACTGCACTCCAGCCTGGGTGACAGAGCGAGACTCTGACTCAAAAAACTAACTAAATAAATAAATAAAAAGAAAGGTATACATAGCATAACGAGGGTACAAACAATAAAGGCAGGCCATATTAGCAGGCATGGGGAAGTCGTCTTCTTTTTTTTGAGACAGAGTCTCACTTTGCTGCCCAGGCTGGAGTGCAGTGGCTCGATCTCGGCTCATTGCAACCTCTGCCTCCCAGGTTCAAGTGATTCTCCTCAGCCTCCCATAGCTGGGATTACAGGCATGCGCCACCACCCCCAGCTAATTTTGTATTTTTAGTAGAGATGCAGTTTCACCATGTTGGCCAGGCTGGTCTTGAACTCCTGACCTCAGGCGATCTGCCTGCCTCGGCCTCCCAAAGTGCTGGGATTACAGGTGTGAGCCACCGCGCCTGGCCGGGAAGACTTCTTTAAGGAGGTGACACCTGAGCAGAGCTTGAAGGATGAGGAGCCAGCTGTAAACAAAGTAGGCAGGAAGGGCATTTCAGGCTGAAGGGATACATGAGGCAGGCTAGGGGCATGAGAGGCCATTGTGGTTGAAGCCCGAGTGAGGGCAGAATGGAGACTAGCAAGAGAGGATGTCGAAGATGGAGCAGGCTCAGATCATACAGGCTCCGTGGGCTCCCACGAGGAATTGGGGTTTTATTCTAAATGCAGTGGATGGCAGAGATACCACACTCCCCTACTGAAATAAAATACCTGCCCCACAAAGATTTCATGATGAAAATGCCAAAAGCAATTGTAACAAAAGCAAAAATTGACAAATGGGATCTAATTAAACTAAAGAGCTTCTGCACAGCAAAAGAAACTATCACCAGAGTGAACAGGCAACCTACAGAATGGGAGAAAAGTTCTACAACCTATCCACCTGACAAAGGTCTAATATCCAGTCTACAAGGAATTTAAACAAACTTACAAGAAAAAACAATCCCATTAAAAAGTGGGCAAAGGAAAATAAACAGACACTTCGCAAAAAGAAGACATACATGCAGCCAACAATCATATGAAAAAAAGCTCAACACCACCGATCATTACAGAAATGCAAATCCAAACCACAATGAGATATCATCTCACACCAGTCAGAATGGCGATTATTAAAAAGTAAAAAAATAACAGATGCTGGCAAGGCAGTGGAGAAAAAGGAAGGCTTTTACACTGTTGGTGGGAGTGTAAATTAGTTCAACCATTGTGGAAAACAGTGTGGCGATTCCTCAAAGATCTAGAGGCAGAAATACCATTTGACCCAGCAATCCCAAAGAAATATAAATCATTCTATTATAAAGATACATGTACACGTGTGTTCACTGCGGCACTATTCACAACATCAAAGACATGGAATCAACCCAAATGCCCATCAATGATAGACTGAATGAAGAAAATATAGTGCATATACACTATGGAATACTATGTAGCCATAAAAAGGAACGAGATCATGTCCTTTGCTGGGACATGGAAGTAGCTAGAAGCCATTATCCTCAGCAAACTAATGCAGGAACAGAAAACCAAACACTGCGTGTTCTTGCTAATAAGTGGGAACTAAATGATGAGGACACATGGACACATTTGTGGGAGAGGGGGGAACAACACCCATTGGGGCTTGTTGCGGGGGACAGAGAGCATCAGGAAGAATAGCTAATGCATGCTGGTCTTAATACCTTGGTGATGGGATGATCTGTGCAGCAAACCACCACAGCACGTTTACCTATGTAACAAACCTGCACATCCTGCACATGTACCCCTGAAGTTAAAAGTTGAAGATACAAAAAAAGAGAAATACCTCCCTAAACTATTACACATGAATGGACAACTTTAAGAGGGGAGCACGTAAACCTGATTTATGGTTCTTAAAGGTCTCTCTGGCATTGAGTGAAAGTAGGATGGGTGGGCCGGGCACAGTAATCCCAGGACTCTGGGAGGCTGAGGCAGGTGGATCACCCAAGGTCAGGAGTTTGAGACCAGCCTGGCCAACATGATGAAACCCCATCTCTACTAAAAATACAAAAAAATTAGCCAGGCGTGGTGGCGGATGCCTGTAATCCCAGCTACTTGGGAGGCTGAGGCAGGAGAATTGCTTGAACCCGGGTGGCGGAGGTTGCAGTGAGCCAAGATCGGGGCCACTGCACCCCAGCCTGGGCGACAGAGTGAGACTCCATATGAAAAAGAAAAAAAAAACAAACAAACAAGAAAACAGGATGGGTATACCTACAAACCTCCTAAAATTGGGCAAAACACTCCCGCTACTGGCACTTATATTCCTAGATTTCAACATTAAATTCTACTCATATTCAAGTTTTTCAAGTACTTACTTATATTTATAATATAACCACTAACATAGGCTTTTGAAATACAATTATGAATAAACAAAGAGCTCCAAGCTCTTATATAGAAAAAAAATTAATATACTCCTTGGAAAATACATCTGGTATTCTCAGATTCTCAGTGTGTAGCTGTTTCAAATACAGGATGCACTAAAGTATATATTAAGATTATGCTAAAATAGCTGGGTGTGGTGGTGTGTGCCTGTAATCCCAGCTACGTGGGAGGCTGAGGCAGGAGGAGTGCTTGAACCCAGGAGTTCAAGACTAGCCTGGGCAACTTAGCAAGACCCAACTCAAAAAAAAAAAAAAGAAAAAAAGATTACGCTAAAATCGTTCTCCAATCTCCAGGACAAAAATCAAACAGAGAACCAAAGCAGAGAAGTTTCAATAAAACCCCATATTACTTCAATCAGTAGAAATTCAGGGTGGAAGACAGTTTCTGAAATGTATCCGTTCAAATCAGAAACATTTAGCTTAATCGCAATGATCCTGTCATGCCATTTGTACTTCTCTGTACCATGCTATTTTTTCCTTTTCCTGTACATAAAATTAGTTTTTCTATTTCTACAATTAAGGGTGATAATTATGAAAGTTAGGCTCTAGGATATGTACTCTAAGAAACACCTTGTTTACTTCTTCTGGTATCCTTGGTTTCAACATATAGATTAAGTCACGAGCAGCATTACAAACAAAATAGCTATAAGACAATTATTTTTAAACCACTTCTGTCTAATTTACTCTTAGCAAAAAGCTAATAAAATCTCAAAAAATTAAATAATTTTAATAACACCCACGACACACACAGGGACACTATGAAGTTTACCCTAGAGGAATTTACCTGAAAAACGACCCTCAAATCAGAGTATGGTGATAAATGGGAATTTAACGAAAACTAGCTTTTGAATAAAAACTAGATGTGACAAGATCAATCTGAGAAGAGTTTGGTAAGTGCTGCATTCTCGACCCTTGACCATTCGTGGGGTGTGGTGGACAGCTCTTATTTTTGCCTGCTTGGTATCTCTGCCCCTTTCTCCCAACAGAGTCCTTTGGGGAACCCTCTTCCCCAGCTCTCTGCCTATACCGTCCAGGGCTCCAACTCCACCCCTCACCTTCAGGGGCAGGCCTGGTAAGAGCCTGGCCAATCAGAATAGTCTTCATTTCTAGCCATGGGATTGGTTCAGAGACAGGCACATGACCGAAAGTGGGCCAATCAGAGCTGATCAATGTCAACTTGGGCCATTTACTAGAGCTTATCCCCAGAGTATTGGCTCGCTTCTCTGCAGCAACCCTGAGCTGATAAAATGACAGCCTGGATCTGAGGGCAGCCATCTTGCTGCCATGCACTTGAGAAAGAAATGGATGCCTAAGAAAGCAGAGCAGAGATTGAGAAGGAGTTGCCAGACATTGTCTGAAACCCTAGATCTAGTCCCGGGACCTACAGTAACAGACATGGACAGATTCCTTTTAGTGACTTAGGCTGGTGTAAGTTGGGTCTCTGTCACGGGCAGCCATAAACGTCTTAGCACAAAGGATCGAAGTGCATCTAAGAGTGGCGCCTCAGTATCTCCCTTTAATGTCTAACCTAATAGAGTGCTATTATTCACACTCATCAAAGTCGTGAAGGCAAGAAGGGAACAACCACCCTAGAAAAACAGCTGAGAAGTGGGTCACGTTACGTATATGAGGTTCTCGCTGAAACGCTTGCGGAGGTTGTCGACAAAGGCAGATTCGCTGGTGTACGCGTCCAATAGCACAAAATCCTGAACCCCGACCTTGTCCCGGGCAGTCAGCGCCCCTTCCATGTGCAGACGGATGTGTTTCCTCCTCACGTCTTCTTTCTACGGGAAATAGAACATTCTTCAGCAGCTCATCTATTTGGTAATATCTATTACACGTCTAATGCATGGAAATAACAAGATGCTAAACCCTGGGATAGTAGAGAGCCAGCATTAAATTATGCCGTCTTCACTTAGAGTTTACAATATGGTTGGGGATACAAGATCATAATCATAAAAAATAGGAATAGCAGCAGCTGATAGGAACCAAGTATTTACTGCTAGGTACTATTCTAAACACTTGACTTATACTGTTTCATTTGATCTTCATTCTGACCCTATGAAATACTATTATGATGCCCATTCTACAGATGAGAAAACTGAGGCATAGGAATGTCATAAGCCACGCCCAAAATCTGCCAAAAGACGCAGCCAGAAAATGAACCTAGACAACATACCCAGACTTGCTTTCCTGACAACCATGGACTCAATAAATGTTTTTTTTAAATTAATGTTTCCTTTATGTTGATTAGTCAAGCTTGAATTTTTTCTTTTTTTAAAATTAATTTTTCTTTATTTCAATAAGTGTTAATTGTGTAAACTCACTTTGTAATTCTCACATGGGTGGTGAGGAGTTTGGGCCAGAAAGGGAAATTCTTGCTACAGAGGAATATTTAAGGAAGGACAAACTTGGAGTGTTCCTCTCCAAGGATGGGCTTCAGATGTCACTGGAGAAGGTGTGGCTACAGCCCATTGGATGGCAAAGAATCTCACCAGGATACCAGGGCCAGAGCTGGTTCGGTCACTGGGCAGGCACCAGGCATGACCTTCCTGAGCACCCGCGCTGCTGGATGGGAGACCATGGAGGGGGCCAAGGAAATCAACCTTCCAGGGCTCAGGCAAGCTGCGGCCAGAGGGCAGGTGTGCGTTGGGAGAGGGAACAGGAGTAGGTATGAAGCCTGGAGTGTGTAATGTCTGCATCAGGAGGGCTGTGACAAAGTGGTCACCAGGCCCTTGGCCAGAGCTGTGAGGTCACTGAGAGACTATGTGCTCTGGGCACACGGTTAGTGTGTGTCCCCCCCACATACCACGTGCAGCAGAATGTACAGTCTGAAAACAAGAAAAAGCAAAACATAGCAAAGGACATCAGGAAGAGAAGCGGCCTGCCTTTGCAATGTCCCTCCAGTGCCCTCTAGTGACAAAAATGACATTGTGTTCACTTTAAGGAGAAATGCCTAAAGCGTGCAGTTGGTTATTGCTCAGCAGGTAATGAAGGGTGAATTTGGATCTGAGAGGCAATAAATTGACAACTGGTACATATGGATATGCAAAGGTCCTAGCATAGCCAAATTAACCTTGCAAAAGAAAAACAAAGCTAGAATAAGACTGTGTTTAATAAGACTGCGTCTCAATTGATTTTCAGTAGAGGTCCCAAAACAATTCAGCACAGAAATGGAAAACATTTCCATCCAATGGTGCAGGAACAACTAGATATTTATAAAGAAAAAAAATTGCAGTTGTGTGTGGTGGCTCACAGCTGTGATCCCAGCACACTGGGATGCTGAGGCAGGAGGATTGTCTAAAGCCAGGAGTTGGAGACCAGCCTGGGCAACACAGGGAGATTCCCATCTCTACTTAAAAATATATAAATAGAAAAAGAAAGTAAAAATGCATTTCAGTCCCTATATTACATTACACTACACTACACACACACACACACACACACACACACACACACACACACACACACGAACTTGAGATGCATCTTAGACCTAAATGCAAATTTAAAATCTATATAAAGCTACTGGAAGTAAACAAGGGGACCATCTTTGTAACCAGGGGAAGGCAAAGTTTTCTTAGATGAGAGCCAGGAAGAAATAATAATAAAAGACACAAAATAAGAAATCAGACTTCACCAAATATAAAGCTTCTCATTAGAAGACACTGTTAAGAAAATAGGCAAGTCACAGAACAGCAGAAAATATTCCTAAATTATACAGACGCAAAGAATTTGTATCCAGAATAAAAGACACCTACAGTCCAATAATAAAAAGACAAACCCAATGAAAATTTGGCAAAAGACTTGAATAGACACTTCACAAAGGAAGATAGACAAATTGGCAATACACACATAGAAAAATGGTCAACATTGTTAGTCATCAGGGAAACACAAATTAAAACCACAATGAGATACCACCACAATAGTTAAAATTAAAAACACTGACAACACCAAATACTGGTGAGGATGCGGAGCAGACAGAATTCTCTCGCACTTCTGGTAGGAATGCAAAGAGAATCACTTTGGGAAAAAGATCTGGCAGTTTCTAATGAAGTTAACCATGCCTCTATTCTTTGATCCAGCGATTCCACTCCTAAGTATTTACACAAGAGAAATGTAAACATATGTCTACAAAAAGACTTGAACATGAAGTTCAACTCATGCTCAACTTTATTCAGAACGGCCCCTAACTGGAAACAATCCAAATCCCCATCAACTGGAGAATGGCTGTGGCCCATCTGTACAATAGAAGGAGGACAGCAATAAAAGAGAAATAACGGGTACACGCAAGAGCATGGATGACTCTCACAGACATTATGCTGAGTGAAAGAGCCCAGACACAAAAGAGTCGTACTGTAGGATTCCATTGATATGGCACACTGGGACAAGCAAAACTAATCCACAGTGAAAAATCAGAACAATTGTTGCCTAGTTGAGGAGTTGTCAGGCAAATGACATTTTTGGAGTGATGAAAACATTCCATATCATGATAGGGCTGTGGGTTACATGAGTATATCTATCGGTCAAGATAAACTGTTAAAATTGTGTGCATTTCACTATATGTAAATTTTATTTTTGAAAAACAACCGTAAAAAATAAGTGGGGAAGAGGTAGGGATTGGCTGGAGGTATGAATATAAACGGAATGGCAGAATGTTAATTGTTAAAGCTAGGTGGTGGGTAGAGGGGGATTTATGATACTATTCTGTTTACTTTGCATAAATTTGAAGTTTTCCATAAAAAAAGTTTTAAAAAACAGAATGGCCACCAGATGTCTCCCTACACTAGCCAAATGGAGCTAGAAGAGCCTTAATCACTAGCAACCTAACATTCAAAACAATGCATTTAGATCAAACAATATTTTAGTGATTTCAGGCTGGGCGTGGTAGGCTCGTGTTTGTAATCCTGGCACTTTGGGAGGCCAAGGCAGGCGGATCACTTGAGCCCAGGAGTTTGAAACCAGCCTGAGTAACATGTTGAAACTCTGTCTCTACTAAAAATATGAAAACTAGCTGGGTGTGGCAGTGCGTGCCTGTAGTCCCAGCTGCTCATGCTGAAGTGGGAGGATCGCATGAACCTCAGAAGGCTGAGGCTGCAATGAGCCATGATTGCACTGCTACACTCCAGCCTAGGCAACAGAGTGAGACATTGTCTTAAAAAAAAAAAAAGAAAAGAAAGAAAGAAAAAAAGAAACATTTTAGTAATCCCAAATATTTCCATGCTGTACCACATATAGCATAGCATAATGATTAAGACGTTGGAACACGAGCATTTCCAAGTTCAAATCCTATCTCTGTTGCTTCCTGGCAGTATAATCTTGGGAGAGTCCCAAGTCTCTTGTTTCATCTCTATAAAACGGAATTATAATTGTACTTACCTCATAGGGTTGTCAGTTTCACCAGAACCATGTAAAGCACATGGAACCCTGCCAGGCACAATTTAAATTTAGTGAGTGCTTGCTTTTGTCATCATTAGTATCAATAATCACGATTATTAGAAATAGAAACATAGTAAAGCAAGTCTGCTGATTAGGAGTCAATGAGCCTCTATTAAATTGGAGGTGGGTTGGTGTCTGAAATAATGTCTGGAGCTGCACCCAGAAATATTACTGCAGTCAGGTTGCTGCAGGTGGAGGATGCAGAGATTAACCAAATTTCTCTCTTAGCCTGGTCCTAAGGATGGGAGGGTGGGGTACTCCTGCAGTCAGCCTAGGAACTGATGTGACTTGAAGCCCAAAGAAATTTGACAAAACCTTGTAGATTAAGGAACATGACAATGATTTTTAACTTGCCAGGGTCAAAGCAGACTCCATTCACTTCAGACTAGAGTTTTGTTTATTGCAATATTTCAGTTCTGACACCTCGATTCCTTTGTTGATTTCCAGTTATCTTTTAAAGGGCGTGAGAAAACGAGAGTGTCCCAATAAGAGTGACATGGACCATCAAAGGGATGAATATTGGGACATAAAGGAGAAGGGTAATCAAGAAGTTGGAGTGATTCAGCCTTGACCAAAAAGATGACTAAGAGACTTATAAAGAGAGCATTAAATCCAGATTAAATAAGAGGGAGGAAATTAAAGAGATCTTCAATTACACCTAAGAAAATTAAATTAAATCAAATTAAGTTACATCTAAGAAAGAACTCCATCTTTGGGGTGATAAAACTGTGGAGGATCCTAACTGTGCATAACCATGGTGCAGGGATCACAGATTCTGCCTGTTACAGGGTTCCAGCAGGTACCATGACTGAGTCAAGCTGCCAGGTGATGGGGACTGGGTTAGACTCAGGAATGAATGGCCATCTCTGGTGTGTAGCTACTGTCTGGCTCCAGCTGGTTGACATCAGGCACAAATATAGGGCCTGTGTTGCCAGAACTTCCGATTATTTAAGTCAGAAGTTTGGAATTACATACCCAGTCCTGTCGTACAATTTACCCTTGCAGGACATTATTTTGCAGCCTCTGCAGCAAGCCACTCTTTGTCTTGGATGGTTTAGACCTGTTGCTCATCTAAAAGCAGGGGATTCAAGGAAACACTCAAACCAGAACCATCATTTTGGAAGTATCATGTACTCAGTGATGATCTGATCATCTTCTACATAATCTAATGCTTGACCCAGTATGTGGAGTCGGGGTGGGGAGATGACAGGGAGGCCACAGTATGTGGAAAGGTGGTGAGATGCCATGGTAGAGGCAGAAATGCCTGCCAGCTATTCCGTGGACTTCCCCACATTTACAAACTCCCTTGCAGTTAGGTGGAGTTGCTTGACTACTTCCGGCCAACTGGCTGTAAATAGAAGTGACATTTGTGTAAGACCCTTCCAGTGTTATTAGAACTTCTTTGATACTGCAATGACTGAGAATTTCTTTTGCTGAATGGACAAGCCACAAGATCAAAACAGCCTGGATTCCTGAGCCATCACATGGAGGAGAGATGTCTTGAAGAGTCATCAACACCCACAGTAGACTTTGTGTACGTAAGAAATAAACTCCTGTTATGGGAAACTTCTGAGTTTTGGGGCTGTTTGTTATTGTAGCTGAAGACTGCTTATCCTGACTAATACACATGCGGAACAGAACTTTTCCACTGGGAGGACAGCAGTTTGAATGTGAGCCACAGTTCTCCCATGTTAAACTTGGCCAGCTGTTTTGGCTACTACCCTAAAGTTCTGGAGGAAGAGTAAGGGCTATTTTTTAAGGGGAGAAGAGGGTAGATGATAAGCCTTGAAGCTGTCATTTTTGAATTTTATTTGAAATGTCAAAATCCTTTGTTCAAGGGAAATGTTATAAGAAACCTTAATATGTAAAATTGAGGAAAGCAGACCTTTCTGATTGAAGTAGGGGGTGAGAGTTTCACTGGGTTGCCCCACAGAAACATGGGAGAGGTTCTGGGGAAAGCTTAGGGCAGAAGAGAGTTTGCAAACCACTGCATAGCCCCCGAGCCTTTATTGCCCAAGCACCATCATTTGAGCACTTCCTTCACATGTATTGTCATTGTCTGTGTACTGCCAGTATTATTTTTTACTTCATCTTTTCTTTATATTTATTTTTTATATATTTATATATTTATTTATATATATCATTATTTTAATTCATATTTTTAAAATATATTTTTCCTGTAAATATATATATATAAAGATATTTTGAAAAGTTCTCATACACAAAACTAACAAAAGTACAACAAACTCAATATACACAGCTTCAACAATGAACGTATGCCTTCCCCTATTCCAGCTGTGTTTCACTACTCCCCCAGCACTGGATTATTTCGAGGTAAATCACAAAACATTATATCGCTTTATGTATAAATATTTTAGTAGGTATCTCTAAAACATAGGAGCTCTAAAACTATACATGCACTTATATACCTATATGTAATCACAACACCATTATCATAAAGAATACCATAATAATTCCTTAATACTAATTATAATACCTAATGTTCAAATTTCTCTAATTATATCTATATTTTACAATTGGTTTGCTCAAATCAGGATCCAAACAAGGTCCACACATTGCATTTAGCCAATGTGTCTCTCAAGTCTCTTTTGTTCTATAGGTTCCCTCCATTTCTTTCTTGCAATTTATTCATAGAGAAAATTGGACAATCTGTCTTGTAGAATTTCTCACATTCTAGGTTTTGTTAATTGCATTCTTAAGGAGTCATTTAACATGTCTGTCTTTCTCCTGCATTTCCTGAAAACTGGTTGTTTGAATTAGAGGTCCAATCAGATACAAGATTGATTGGTTTTGGCAAAAAAAAAGACTTCATAGGCAGCATATTATACTTCCAGAAGGAGACACATGAGGGCTGGCTGTCTTTTCAGGATGTCAGTGTTTTCTGATACACACTACCCAAATCCACATTTTCTTAGGAGTTTGATATTCCAGTTCTATCAAACCATCTTCATTTATTAGATGAGACTGTTCTATAAAGAGAAATTTCCCTTATTAACTGTTTGGTTGCCCTGTGGTACAGTTTGCAAGGGAAAGGCAGGATAAATGTTTGATTTGCTAGTTTTCAGAATAATGAGTTGGTTCCACTGCTTCCTCCCAAGGTGACAATGAGTTTTTAATATCATTACAAATTAAAGGTTTATATGTATTGGTTATGTTTCATGCCATGATAGTTAACTTTTTTTTTAAGACAGAGTCTTGCTCTGTTGCCCAGGCTGGAGTGCAGTGGTGCGATATTGACTCACTGCAACCTCCGCCTTCTGGGTTAAAGCAATTCTTGTCCCTCAGAGTAGCTGGGATCATAGGCATGAACCAAGTAGCTGGGATTATAGGCTTGCACCACCACACCCAACTAAGATTTTGTATTTTTAGTAGAGACGGGGTTTCACCATGTTGGCCAGGCTGGTCTCGAACTCCTGACCTCAAGTGATCCACCCACCTTGGCCTCCCAAAGTGCTGGGACTACAGGTATGAGCCACTGCGCCCAGCCAACAGTTAACCTTATTGATGCCCAATTTATCCCAAATTTGGCCAGTGGGAATCTATCAAGTAGGCTCTTGAGTAATTTTTAGTTTAATTAATTTATTATTGTTATTTTGGAGATAGGATTTTTACTCTGTCATCCAGCCTGGACTGCGGTAGTGCAGTCATAGCTCACTGTAATCTTGAACTCCTGAGCTCAAGCCATCTTCTCTCCTCAGCTTCCCAAGTAGCTGGGATTACAGGTGCATGCTGTCATACCTGAGTGATTCGAGTCCTTCTGACATGGCCTTGTCTTTATGAGCTTTCTTGCTTATAAGGATGCTGAGTTGTTTCAAAGCTTATTTATTTTCAACCTAGACCTTGAATCTGTCTTTTCTCCAATGAACTCTGGTTTCTTTGAGTGGGTAGATGGTAGCTGCCACGTTCATACCCTAGGAGTGGTCATTGCTGCAGGGTTAATCATTGTTTCTAGACCTTTTCAATAGCAGAAGAAAGCATTTTAAAAATAAAATATATTATGAGTTTATTCTGATTCTATCAATTTAATATAGAATGAAGAGGTTTGAACTTAACCTTAGTTTTCTGAGACAGAGTCTCGCTCTGTTGCCCAGGCTGGAGTGCAATGACGTGATCTCACCTCTCTGCAACCTCTGCCTCCCGGGTTCAAGTGATTCTCCTGCCTCAGCCTCCCGAGTAGTTGGGACTACTGGTGCGGGCCACCATGCCTGGCTAATTTTTGTATTTTTAGTAAAGATGGGGTTTCACCATGTTGGCCAGGCTGGTCTCGAACTCCTGACCTGAAGTGATCTGCCCACCTTGGCCTTCCAAATTCTGGAATTACCAGTGTGAACCATCACACCCAGCCTTAACCTTAGTTTTCTATCTCTTCTCTTTTCTCCCATCCAAAAATTCTAGTTCAATGACATGAGCAATGTTTCATTGGCTTTATTAACAATATACACACAACAGTCTCAAAATAATAATACCAACACTGTCACCAGTGGGATTACTGAAAACCATCTAAAACTTTTTGAATTCTTTGTCCTCAGGGTAAACCTCACTGGAATTGTAGAGACACATTACTGTGTTTTTTAGGTTCCCTTGAAATAGTCAATCTCTCTATGCTAGCAACCAGATGTACATTTTTTTTTCATTTTACCGTTTATGTCAGCGGATTGATTTTTAAATTTAATTTTGTTTTATAAGTATGTAGAATATTTAATGATGCCAAGGAATAAATTAGGGCATATTCAGAGACCTAGCTCCTGTTCTTACCCTTTCTTCTGCATTCTCATCCTCCTCCTGTAAACAACTATTTTTTAAATGTTAAAATTGGCCTGGGTGCGGTGGCTGTCATGTGTAATCCCAGCACTTTGGGAGGCTGAGGCAGGAGGATCACTCGAGGCCAGGAGTTTGAAACCAGCGTGGGCAACAAAGCGAGACCGTATCTCTACAAAAAGTAAAAAATGAAATAAAAATTTTAAAAAGTTAAAATTGCTGGCCGGGCGTGGTGGCTTATGCCTGTAATCCCAGCACTTTGGGAGGCTGAGGTGGGCGGATCACGAGGTTAAGACATCGACACCATGCTGGCCAACATGGTGAAACTCCATCTGTACTGAAAATACAAAAATTAGCTAGGTGTGGTGGTGAGTGCCTGTAGTCTCAGCTACTTGGGAGGCTGAGGCAAAAGAATGGCTTGAACCTGGGAAGCGGAGGTTGCAGTGAGCTGAGATTGCTCCACTGCACTCCAGCCTGGTGACAGAGTGAGACTCCATCTCAAAAAAAAAAAAAAAAAAAAAAGGTTAAAATTGCTAAAACAGTTTCTTTTTTAAATATAAGCAATTTACATGTAGATTTGTTTTCCTCTTTTCTTAGGCTAATGTTTGCAAACTATATATGCTATTTTTCAATCTTGTCTTTTTTGGAGCTCATTTGGGAGTTGTTTAGAGAGATATTCCTCATTATTTTTTAGAACTGCAAAGTATTTCACTATTTGTGCTTACTATATTGCAGTTTACTAAAACAATCCCATAGTGAGGGATCATAACTAGCCTCTCTCTGATAGAAACTGACAGAAACCAATAGCAAAAAACGCTCAATAGCACACAGAAAATCAAACACCACAATCAACTAACACATGTAGACCGTTGCACCCAACAACTGGAGCATATACATTTTAGTTCAAAAGCACATAGAACTTTTTAAAAATGGACATTATTCCCAGCCATAAAGTAAATCTCAAGTTTCAAAAGATTGAAATCCTACAGAGCTGAATCTGATCTAACCCCTAAGTCAGTGCTGTCAAATAGAATCTTCTGACATGATGAAAATGTTTGATAGCTTCACTGTTCAGTACAGCAGCCACTAGCCACATGTGTGGCCTTTTAGCACTTGAAATGTGGTGAGGCTGAGGAACTGAAATTTGTATTTAATTTTGATTTATTTAAATTTACATAGCCATAGGTGACCAGTGCCTAGTACTCAGGGAGCACAGGTTTAGATCTAACTTCCAATTCAAAGGACAGTAAGGAATGGAAAAGACATTAAACAATGCTGTAGTATACCATCACCTAAATCCAGAGTGGGAGACGCTACAGGAAAATCTAGTTACTTTCTTCAACATTTGTTGAAGGAAACTACAAGGGAACCTATATTTTAAAAGAGAAAAAAGTAGAAAATGCAACTCAAAACCACAATGAGATACCACTTCACACCCACCCCTATCCCTCCCTCCCTCTCTCTCTTGCTTCCTCTCACACCATGTAATCTCTCTACGTGCTAGCTTCCTTTTACCTTCCACTACGAGTAGCCTGAGGCCCTCACCAGGGAAAATATCAGATAATAAGTGTTGGCAAGGAAGTAAACAATTTAGAACCCTCATCCATTGTTGGTGGGAATATAAAATGGTGCAGGTCGGGCACAGTGGCGCATGCCTGCAATCCCAGCCTTTTGGGAGGCCCAGACGGGGGCTTGAGCTCAGGAGTTTGAGACTAGCCTGGGTAGCACAGTGAGACCACATCTCTACAAAAATGAAAAAAAAAATTGGCTGGGTATGGTGGTGCACACCTGTGGTACCATCTATTTGGGAGGCTGAGGTGGGAGGATTGCTTAAGTCTGGGAGGTCAAGGCTGCAGTAAGCCGTGATCACACCACTGGACTCCAGCCTGGGCAAAAGAGTGAGACCTTATCTCAAAAAAATAAATAAATAAATAAAAAAGAAAAAAAAAGAAAAAGAAAATGGTGCAGCCACTTTGGAAAACATTCTGGTAGCTCCTCCAAAGATTAAACAGAGCTACCATATGACCCAGCAGTTCCACTCTTAGGTATCTACCCAAGAGAAACGGAAACATGTCCATGGTGTGGTGATGACTGCACAACTCTGCAAATATATTAAAAACAAGTGAACTGTACACTTTAAATAGATTAATTGTATGGCATATGAATTAGATCTCAATAAAGCTGTTATTTTAAAAAAGAGATGAAAAAGAGTTATCAATAATCACAACGTATGGCATAGTGGTTATGTTTTTAAAAGATTCTGTATCACTTAGAAATAAATACTGAAATACGGAGGAAATGACATTGTGTCTGGAACTGTATCAGAGTAACCTGGCTATGGGAAACAAGTGGGGAAGGAGGTAAGACATCACTGGCCATGAGATGATTATTATCCTGGTGGTGAGAGTTACTAGGAGATTCATTATACTATTCTTTCTACTTTTATACAAAGCTTATTGGTTGCATGACATATAGAATGTTTATTTTTCATAATACTTATTTAAAACATTTCACAATAAAGTTAAAGATTCTTTAGGAATAAATCTAATAGAAGATATATAAGACTGCTATAGGAGAAAATGATAAGACATTATTGGATAAACAGAACTGATAAAGCCATAGAGGCAGAATGCAGATTGGTGGTTGCCAAATGCTTTGGTTTGGGTATGGTTTGTTTCCACCAAGTCTCATGTTGAAACCTGATCCCCAGTGTTGGAGGTGGGGCCTTCTAGGAGGTGCTTGGGTCATAGGCTCCATCCCATGGATCCCTCATGAATAAATTAATGCCCTCCCTCAGGGTGAGTGAGTTTTCACTCTATTTGTTCCTGAAAGAGCTGGTTATTTAAAAAGAGCCCATCAGGTGATACCTCCACCTCCTCTCTCTTGCTTCCTCACTCACCATGTGATCTCTGCACATGTTAGTTTCCCTTTATCTTCCACTATGAGGCCCTCAACACGTGCAGATGCCCAATCTTGAACTTTCCAGCCATCAGAATTATAAGCCAAATAAACCTTTCTTTCTTTATAAACTATTCAGCCTCAAGTATTCCTTTATAGCAACACAAAATGGACTAAGACGGCAAGAGATGGTGGGAGGGAACATGAGTGGAAACTGCTTAATGGGAAGATATTTTACTTTGGAGTGATGGAAATGTTTTGAAACTATAAAGAAGTGGCGGCTGCACAATACTGTGAGTTTACAAAATGCCACTGAATCTGATTACTTTAAAACAGCTAATTTTACATTATGTGAATTTCACCTCAATACATTTTAAAGGAAAACAATTAGAAGAAATTAAAGAACAATAAAAGGGTATACCATATTCATGAATGGAAAGACTCAGTATTCTAAAGATGTTATGTTCTCCCACACTGGTCCTTAGATTCAATACTATCACAATCAAAATCCCAAGAAGTTTAAGTAAAACTTGACAAGCTGTTTCTGAAATTTTTGTGAAATTGCAAAGGACCAAGAATAGCCAAGATAATCTGTATACAGAACAGCTTATTGTTGTCTGATGACTTGCTCTACTAGTTACCAAGCCATACTGTAAAACTACATTAATCCAGATAGTATGATATTGGCATGGGGATACAAAGACACCAGTGTAACAGAATAGAGAGCCCAGGATCAGACCTACAAATAAATGAACACTTTATGTTGACAAAGGTAGCAGAACAAAGCAGTGAGAAAAGGGCAGCCTTTTCCAAATATCATCCTGGGACACTGGGAGGTGTGTGCAAAAAAACTGTATGCCTACCCCATACCACACAGAAAAGTAATTTTCAGTGGATTAAAGACCTATATGTGGCAACAAAAAGAAAGGAGTACTGATACATGTTACAACATGGATGAACCTTGAAAACATCATGCTAGGTGAAAGAAGCAGTTACAAAAGGACAACTACTATATGACTTCATTTATATGAAATATCCAGAACAGTGAAATATATAGACATGGAAAGTGGATCAGTAGTTACCAAGTGCTAGGCAGTTTGAGGTGACTGCTAAAGGGCATGAAATTTCTTTTCAAGGTGTTGAAATGCTCTAAAATTGATTGTGTTGATGGTTGTGTAACTCTGTGAATAAACTGAAAACCTTGAGGTATCTACTCTAAATTGTATGGTGTATGAATTGTATTTCAGTAAGATGGTTACCAAAAAAAATCTAAATGTGAAAGGCAAAACTATAAAGCTTTAGAAGAGAATATAGAAGATATCTTCATGGCCTTGGGGTAGGAAATTATTTCTTTCTTTCCATTGATTGACTGATTGAGACAGGGTCTTGCTCTGTTGCCCACGCCGAAGTGTAGTGGTGCTATTATAGATTACTGTAGCCTCAAACTTCTGGGCTCAAATGATCCTCTTGCCTTAGCTTCCCAAGTAGTTGAGGCCACAGGCACTCATCACCACACCCTGCTAATTTTTGTATTTTTTTATAGAGAAAGGGTTTTGCCATATTGCCCAGGCTTGTCTCAAACTCCTAGGCTCAAGTGATCCATCTGCCTCGGCCTTCCAAAGTGCTGGGATTACAGGTGTGAGCCACTATTCCTAGCCAGGATTTCTTCATAATTCATATGAAAAAGCATCAACCATAAAGGGAATGATGTACAATCTTGATTACATTAAAATCAATACATTTTATTAAATGATATAAAAAGAGTGAAGCGCAAAGCTATAGAGTTGGGGAAGCTATTTCCAATACATAAAAAGGATCTAGAAATGAATAAGAAAAATCAAACAGTTCAATCTAAAAATAGGATGGTGGCAAACAGGCATTTTATATAAAATTGAATGGCTGGCCGGGTGTGGTGGCTCCCACCTGTAATCTTAACATTTTGGGAGGCCGAGGTGGGCAGATCGCTTGAGGCCATGAGTTTGAGACCAGTGTGGGCAACATGGCAAAACCCCATCTCTACAAAAAATATGAAAATTAGCTGCATGTGGTGGTACACGCCTGTAGCCCCAGCAACTCAGGAGGCTGAGGTGGGAGGGTGGCTTGAGCCTGGGAGGTGGAGGCTGCAGTGAGCCAAGATTGTGCCACTGCACTCCAGCCTGGGCAATAGAGCCAGACCTTGTCAAAAAAAAAAAAAAAATCCGCCGGGCATGGTGGCTTACGCCTGTAATCCCAGCACTTTGGGAGGCCAAGGCAGGTGGATCACCTTAGGTCAGGAGTTTGAGACCAGCCTGGCCAACATGGCGAAACCCCGTCTCTACTAAAAATACAAAAATTCACTGGGCACAGTGGCAGGCACGTGTAATCCCAGCTACTCAGGAGGCTGAGTAAGGAGAATTGCTTGAACCCAGGAGGTGGAGGTTGCAGTGAGCCGAGATCATGCCACTACACTCCAGCCTGGGCAACAGAGCCAGACTTCGTCTCGAAAAAAAAAAAATCAAATGGCCAATACAAATATGAAATGTGCAAATTAATATGCACCGGAATATAATTTTATACTTACCAAACTGACAAAAATTTTAAAGCCTAACAAGACAAGCTGGGAAGGATGTAGAGCAAGAGAAACTCTTATACTATATGGATGGGAATGTAAATTGGTACAATTACTTTGGAAAACAATTTAGTATAGCCCAGAAAAGCTGAAGACACATATCCTCTGACCAAGCCACTTAATTCCTCTTGTTTATGTGCTGTGGGGGACAAGCATAGGAAGGTACATGGCAGCGTTATTTATAACAACTCCAAAACAAGAAACACACTCAACTTCCACCAATAAAAGAATATGTTACTATTATGATTGCACAGTGGTATAGTCATACCACAAACAATTATATAGAACTTACAGTATGCCAGGCACTGCCCCAAGTGCTTCTTATATATGAATTCATTTGAAACCTTTCAATAACCCTATGAGGTAGTAGGTATTTTAGCTCCCATTTTACAGACGGGGAAACTGAGACACAGAGGGGTTAAATAACTTGCCACATAGCTAGTACATGTCAACTGAGATGGACACTAAACAGCCTGACTCCAGAATCCATATTCTTTTTAACACACTCCAGAAGGACACAAAAGATGACTTATAGAAATGGAAAAACAGGCCAATTCAGGATAGATTCAACAAAAATGTTTAATTCAGTCATGCTGTGTACAACTGCGGAAGTGAATCCATCACGTGCTGATCAACGTGGTTCAATCTCAAAGAACAGCATTGTTCAAAGAAAGCCAGTCACATAAGAGTATATGTAGTTTAATTCTATTATAACAAGGGCCCCAAATAAGCAAAATTAAGCAATCTATTGCTTTCTTTGAGACAGAGTCTCACTCTGTCGCCCAGGCTGGAGTGCAGTGGTGTGATCTCAGCTCACTGCAGCCTCCACCTCCCAGGTTCAAGTGATTCTCCTGCCTCAGCCTCCCGAGTAGCTGGGATTACAGGTATGTGCCACCACTCTGGCTAGAGAATACTTTTACAGGTGGTAAAACAACAAAGAAAACCAAGGGTGGGTTTTGTATCTTTCACTGGGTGGAGGCATATGAGTGTTTGTTATTCTTTAAGTTATACATATTTATATATACTCTTCTGTGTGTGATATTTTGTAATAAAAATATAAAAGTAACTAGACCAAGCTCATCTTAGGAATATCAAAACCAAATTCCTCAATAAGTGATTAGCAAGTTGAATTCAACAAAACATAAAGAAATAGTAAAACATGACCAAATGGGATTTATTCCAGGAATGTTATATCAGAAAATCTAGTAATAAAATAGATTATTCTAAGAATACAATATTAGAAAACCTATTAATAATAGATTTACCAAATCAATAGATCATGTGAAAAATTATACATCTAAGTTTTAAAAAAGCATTTGATCAACTCAATTTTCATTCTTGATAATTATAATTATATTACATTCTTGATAATTACAAAAACAGTAGACACTTATTTAACATTATAAAAATACAGCTATGTCTCAAAAGCTAGCACCATACTTAATAAACATAAAAGCATGCCTCTTAAAATCAAGAAAAAGACGTAAGTTTTCTTTATCGTCCTAATTCGAAGTACTGGCCAATGCAATTAGATAAGAGGAGGAAATCAAAATAGAAACATTGGAGAAGAAAAGCATCTGCTGATTACTATTTCCAAGGAAAATCCAAACATTATATATGATATGTAAATTCAGGCCATATACAAAGTTAATAAACAAAAATCAATAGCTCTAATGTAACCAAATAATTATTAGTTAGAATATGCAATGGTAGAAATAACTCCCCTTAAGATATTGACTAAAGAGATAAAATATAGAATAAGTTTATCACCAAATGTGCCAGATTTCTATAAAAATAATTTTAACACACTCTTGAGGAACACACAAAAAATTCAAACAAATGGAAAGATATACTATGTTCTTGGATAGGGAGATTCAATATCATATAGTTATTAATTTACCTAAGTTCAACTATAAAATAAAGTCCCATTTAAAATACTGCCAAGATTTATTGCATGCTAAACAAATTGAGTCTAAAGCTCATATAGAAAAATAAGTAAGAATATCCAGGAAATTTCTGAAAGAAACAAAAAGATTAATGAGAAGGTACCAGCCTTAGCAGATATTAAGACATAAATTCAATGTTAAGACATAAATTAAGACATGATGACATATGTCTTTAATTAAGACATAAATTCAATAACATAACCTTGAACATGAATTGACAAGCAATTCAATATTGCTAAATGGAAAGAATAGAACTTATCCCAAACATACAGGTGGATTTATTAAATAGTCAAGGTAGTATTTCAAATTCATGGTAAGAAAATGAGTTATTCAATAAATGGCATTATGCAATTGTAAAAACTCAGAGAAATGTCATCTAAAAAGTGTGAATTTTACTGAATGTAAATTATACATTTATCAACCTAATTTTCAAAATTAATGTTGGAAACACTGGATAGTTCTATAAAAGGAAGGCTGGACATCTATGTCATATTTTACACCAAAACAATTCTGGAAGGATCAAAGATTTAAACACTAAAAAATAAAATAATGAAAGGAAAGTACAAGAAAATATGAATGAAGCAAGACATGCCTAAGTATGACTAAAAACAACCAGAATCCACAAAAGAACAGACTGTTCATTCAACTACGTAGAAAATATTTCTCCCTAGAAAAAAACATTATAAGCAGAGTTAAAAGACAAATCAATTCTAGGAAAAATATTTACAATTTATAGCTCAGATAAATCATTAGTTTTCTTAATATACAAAAAGCTTCCATAAATCAATAAAAGTCCAACACCCCACACAAATACACCAAAAATGAAGGATGTAAACAACAATTCACAGAAAATACAACTTTGTCTTTTAAATATATGTAGAAGATACTCCATTTCACTCAAAAGAAAAATGCTATTCAAATATACTGAGATACGATTTTCATTTTTGGCACTCTGATAGCTAAGTTTGAGAACATACTCTCAGTAAGTGTGGAAAGGAATTACTAGCATCTATTACAAGTGAGAAGGTGTATATATTATAGAATCTTTATGAAATGTAATTTGAAAGTATATTTCAAAAATTAGGCATATATTCTTTGACACAATAATTTCATTTGTAGATATTTATCCTCTAGATATGCTCTCATGTGAACAAAATAATAAGCAACCTCAATATCCATCAATAGGAAACAGGTAAATTAAATTATGGTTCATGCATCCAATGAAAGACCATAGAGCTATAGAATCTCCTAAATAGAATGCTACCATTTGTAAGAAAAACAAGGCTGGGCATGGTGGCTCACACCTGTAATCCCAGAGCTTTGGAAGGCGTAGGCAGGCAGATTGCTTTAGCTCAGGAGTTTGAGACCAGCCTGGGCAACATGGCCAAACCCCATCTCTACAGAAAAATACAAAAATGAGCCAGGTGCGATGGCACACACCTGAAGTCCCAGCTACTTAGGAGGCCAAGGTAGGAAGATCATCTGAGCCCGGGGAGGTAGAGGCTGCAGTGAGTCATAACTGCACCACTGTACTCCAGCCTGGGTAGCAGAGTGAGACCCTATTTCAAAAAAAAAAAAAAAAAAAAGAAAGAAAAAAAAGAAAACCAATGTACGTGTGTACACATAGATGCTTATAAAGTCACAACATCTCCCTAAAAGCATGCCCAAGGAATTGAAAACCGTAGTTGCTTCTGGAAAAGAAGGCTTAAGCTTTGTTATATATACCTGTTAGCTCTTTCTAAATTTTGTAACTTGTATTTGAAACATTTATAAAATAAGCAAATTCCTCTATTATTATCTCTTCACCCTATTTCTTTATAGCATTTTGTACAAGTTACAGTTATGAAACTGCCATTATCCTAATAACTGCAGCTGACAGTGATTCTAATTACTTGATTCCTTGATCTTAGGCTGAGCCCTTCTAGAAGCCTCTCAGGGGTAAGTCTTTTTCATTGTGTGTCCCCAGCTTCTAGCTCAAGTCTTGCCACATAATTGGTGCTCAGCAGATTTGTCAAATGAGTGAATAAATTCAGTGCCATGTATAGATTTGAAATAATCTAGAGAATTCAAAGAGGAAGCATTCTAACTAAAGCCACTGGTCTGAGAGCGAGCACAGGTTAAAGAAGGAAAATCAACATTGATTTACCCAAATGTACCTCCCTGCCAATAAAATGTAATATTAAAATGGGTAGTAGCCCTTTCTATTTATTGAGTTTTTACTGTGCACAGAGCCCGGTAACTGGGCAGTTTACAAATCTCTGTCTCATGTATTACCCACAACAACTCCATAGCCAGATGGTATTTTCCTCTTTGTGAAAGTATAAACAGGGAAGCTAAGTGATGGGGGAGGCTGTGGAAGGGATCAGAATTTCAGCCTCATCCCACTGCTGGGTAGACATGTGACTTTGACCAATGTCACTGCCTCCTTTGGACCTTGGCATGATAGAGATGACAGGAACTACCTTCCCACCTACATCCTCTTCCAAGACAATCCTTCCCCTGCTCAGTCCTGTTGAAGGGGTGAGCTGAGCTGGTCGCATGTAGACAAGGGCATGGCACTACCCTGGCTTCAGCCAGGGAGGGGAATAGACCTACATTGGCAAGACAGAAATGGGCCTGGGAATCTGGGTTAGGGAGTGATATGGTTTGGCTGTGTCCCCACCCAAATCTCATCTTGAGTTGTAGCTCCCACAATTCCCATGTGTCATGGGAGGGACATGGTGGGAGGTAATTGAATCACGGGGGCGGGTCTTCCCTGTGCTGTTCTCATGACAGTGAACAAGTCTCACAAGATCTGATAGTTTTATAAAAGGGAGTTTCCCTGTACAAGTTCTCTATTTTCTGCTGCCATGTAAGACGTGCCTTTCGCCTTCTGTCATGATTGTGAGGCCTCCCAAGCCATGTGGAACTGTGAGTCCGTTAAACCTCTTTTTCTTTATAATTATAAATTACCCCAACTGAGGTATGTCTTTATCAGCAGCATGAAAATGGACTAATACAGGGGAGCCTATGAGGCTTAACTCATTTTGTCATGGAGAAGTGAATTACAGGGTTATGACGACCTATGCTGCTGACCATACTGGCCAATGCATAGGCAAAGACATCAATTTGCAATCCCAGAGATAGAAAGACAGACACAGACTCTTACAACCTGGTAACTTCTTGGTTCCCATGATATCTGGCCATATGTCCTGTAACATGGCACACATGTACATGCATGTCTATGGGGGTGTGTGTGAGAGAGAGATTTTTAAATATTATCATTAATACCCATCCAATTTTTAAGCGTCAAACAGTCTGAAAAGCAAAAGCCACTCTCATCTCTTTGAACCTCAGTCTCTCCCCAGAGGTTTACCACTCTTCCTTGTGCATCCTTCCTGAAAATTTATGCCTCGATATCATTTGGTTTTTGTATTTATCCAGACAAAATCACATAAGATGCAGCATGCTGTATTTTGCTTTTTTCTTCCTTAGCAATATATTCTCTTGGATAGAGAAAATTTGGTACATATACACCATGGAATACTGTGCAGCCATGAAAAGAATGAGCCAGGCATCGTGGCTCATTTGGATCACCTGAGGTCAGGAGTTTGAGACTAACCTGGCCAACATGGTGAAACCCTGTCTCTAGTAAAAGTACAAAAATTAGCCAGGTGTGGTGGCACATGCCTGTAATCCCAGCTACTCGGGAGGCTGAGGCAGGAGAATTGCTTGAACCCAGGAGGCAGAATTTGCAGTGAGCCGAGATCACACCACTACACTCCAGCCTGGGTGACAACAGTGAAACTCAGTCTCAAAAAAAAAAGAAAGAAATCATGTCCTTTGCAGCAACATGGATGCAGCTACCGGCCATTACCCTAAGTTAATTAATGCAGGAAGAGAAAACCAATTATGGCATGTTCTCACAAGTGGGAGCTAAACGCTGGGTACTCATGGACATGAAGATGGCAACAACAGAAACTGAGGACTGCTGGAGGGGGAAGGAAGAGAGGGGGAAAGGGTTGAAAAACTAACTATTGGGTACTGAGCATCACACAATAAACCCAGGTAACAAACCTGCACGTGTACCCCTGAATCTAAAATAAAAGTTGGAAAAACCCCAATATATCCTTAACATCTTTTCCTATCAGCAAGAACCCTTTTTTTTTTTTTTTTTTTTAAGATGGAGTCTTGCTTTGTTGCCCAGGCTGATCTCAGCTCACTGCAACCTCCACCTCTCGGGTTCAAGCAATTCTCCTGCCTCAGCCTCCCGAGTAGCTGGGATTAAAGGTGTGTGCCACTGCACCTGGCTAATTTTTATATTTTTAGTAGAGGTTGGGTTTCACCACGTTGCCCAGGATGGTCTCAAACTCCTGACCTCAGGTGATCCGCCTGCCTCGGCCTCCCAAAGTGCTGGGATTACAGGCATGAGCCACCGTGCCCAGCCTATCTTATTCTTTTTAATGACTGTAAGTTGTCCCATTGTTTATTACCTTCAATTATCTGCCAAACATCTATTGAGCTCTTTTTACATCTCAAGCCCTGCTTTAGGCACTTGCTTGGGATATTTCAGTGAACAAGCCAGAAAGATATTCCTGTCCTTGAGGAGCGGACAGTCCTATAAACTAACTTTGTTTTTAGTTTTGCATGTCACAAACCATCTTGTAATGGGCATCTTCCTGCTTATAATTTGGCCTTTTCTTTGAGAGAACCAGTAGGAGATACTTGCAGAGGAGGAATTGCTAGGTCAAGACAATTTGGAGAGCTTACTTAGCAAATATTCATCAAAAAGATTGCTGCTGGCCATGAGTGGTGGTGCAACACCTGTAGTCCCAGCAACTCAGGAGGCTGAAGCGGGAGCATCATATGAGCCCAGAAGTTTGAGGTTGCAGTGAGCCATGATTGTGCCACTGCACTCCAGCCTGGGTGACAAAGCGAGACCTTGTCTTTAAAAACTAATTTAAAAATAGGCCAGGCATGGTAGCTCACGCCTGTAATCCCAGCACTTTGGGAGGCGGAGGCGAGCGGATCATGAGGTCAGGAGATCGAGACCATCCTGGCTAACACGGTGAAACCCTGTCTCTACTAAAAATACAAAAAAATTAGCCGGGTGTGGTGGCGGGCGCCTGTAGTCCTAGCTACTCAGGAGGCTGAGGCAGGAGAATGGGGTGAACCTGGGAGGTGGAGCTTGCAGTGAGCCGAGATAGTGTCATTGTACTCCAGCCTGGACGACAGAGCAAGACTCTGTCTCGAAATAAGTAAATAAATAAATAAATAAATACATGAATAATAAATAAATATAAAAGATTGCCGCAACTTCCCCTTCCACAAACTGGGTATGAAAATGCAGTTTTCCCCCAAATCTCTTTAGTACTTGTGTTATGGGTCTTTTAAAAAATTTTCTCCAGCAATGTAGCTGGAGATGGAAGCATTCCCTGAATTGCAAGCGAGAGAGAACATATTTTTGTACAGGTGACGGGCTTTTGTATCTCTTTTTCTATGATCCACCTACTCATATCCTTCCTAAGGGTCTAAGGAGAACTTATTTTTGTCTTTCATTTGTATGGTCTCTTTGTAAAGTTAGGAAATTAGCCTTTTCCTATGCACTGTGAATATTTTTCCCCATTTTCCCATTTTTCTTTTGACTTTGCTTATGAAACTTTTCCTGCAGAGAAATATCTGATGAAGGTAACTATGTAAAAGTGAGTTTTTCCTCCCCTGGAAGTAGCAGATGATAAAATAACAATTGACATACAGGTTGAGTATCCCTTATTTGAACTGCTTGGGACAAGAAATACATGAGATTTTGAACTTTCTTCTGATTTTGGAATATTTGCATTATGCTTGCTGGTTGAGCATCTCACATCTGAAAATCTGAAATCCAAAATTCTCCAATGACCGTTTCCTTTGAGCATCAAGTGGGCACTCATAAAGTTTCGGATTTGCGGGCATTTTGCATTTTTGGATCTGGGAAGTTCAATCTGTAGTAATAAGTGACAATATTTCTACAGCTGGTAAGTGGCAGAGCTGAGATTCAACCCACATCCATCATGCTTCTTGCTCATCCTTCTTGCCTCTACTCAGTTTGACCTTTTATATATCAAATGCAAATGTTCTGTCTACATCTGTTCACTGCTCAATTTTGCACTTTGTTGCTTTGCATTTATAATTAAGTTTTTCTGCATCTGAGGGAGAGTCACTGATTAGTCTGGCACAGGGAGCTTCCCGTTCTTTGGCAAGGAGATTGTTCTGGAAGTTCAGAAAGAGGCACCTGAGTACGGTTTCTTGTCCTCTTAAACCGTGAAACAAATCCCACAGCTATATGGTCTCAAGCCAGTTCCACATTTGTTTCAAGGATTCTTACATGGTTAGCCTTGAGGGGTACTGAGAGGCCCCTGACTTCCCCAAGCCTGCCCCCACCTTGAATAAACTATAGCATTGGCTAACAATTCACCCCTGGATCCCTTTACTTCAGGCACTTAAAGTTGATGGGCCATTGGTACACAGACTGAAGTTGACAGGACTTAGATTGAAGTTAATGGGACATTGGTACACAGATTAAAGTTGATGGAACCCTGGTTTGGGACATTTTGCAAAAAGAAGTGATTGGAAAGAAAAGGCATAAGAAGTTCTGAAGAAGGCACATCTGGGTGGTCTAGGACAGCGGTCAGTGGTCCCCAACCTTTTTGTCACCAGGGACTGGTTTCGTGGAAGACAATTTTTCCATGGACGGGAGAAGAGGGAGGGAATGGTTTCAGGATGAAACTCCTGCTCCACCTGAGATCACCAGGCGTTAGATCCTCATAAGGAGTGTTCAACCTAGATCCTTCACACGTGCAGTTCACAACAGGCTTCACAATCCTGTGAGAGTCTAATGCTGCCACGGATCTAACAGGAGGCGGAGCATCGGCAGTGATGCTAGCTCACCCACCACTCATCTCCTGCTGTGCGGCCCAGTTCCTAACAGGCCACGGACCGGTACCAGTCCACTGCCCAGGGGTTGGGTACCCCTGGTCTAAATGGTAGGAGCTCACAGAAGCATCTAGGCCTCCCGTTCCATCATGCAGCCTGCATGTTGGCTCTGGGCCATGGTCTCACATTGGTCATCTCATCATCTTATTTAATCCTCACAACCCCCCTGTGAAATAGGTATTATCATCTTGATTTTTCAAAAGAGCAAACTAAGGCTCAACTATCTAAGACCCACAGATGGTAAGCAAGGAAGGCAGGATTCAAAATCAACAGCTGAACTCCAGAGCCTGTGCTCCCAACCAGCCTCCAACCAAGCTCACCACCTCCACTGAGGCTCCAAGTGTCCGAGGGAGGGGAAAAGTACCAGAAGAAAGAGACTGAGAAGAAAGCCCCGAAGCCATAATGCTAAATAGACGCTTGATCTACTTCAGTTTTGCCTAGATACAGCCATCTGCCTGGGAAGTATTTTCAGTTTCATGACGGAACTGGAATTGGCCCATGCTGAGCTATGTTACTGTTAGTTCAGTTGCTGGTTCCTGTTTAAAGATTACCTTGTTTATTTATTTATTTTAAGAGACAGGGTCTTGCTCTGTTGCCCAGGCTGGAGTGTAGTGGCACAATCTTAGCTCACTGCAGCCTTGAACTCTGGGATTCAAGTGATCCTCCTGCCTCAGCCTCTCAAGTAGCTGGGACTACAAGTACACACTACCACATCAAGCTAAGTCTTGTTTTTAATTTTTTGTAGAGACAATGTCTTACTATGTTGCCCAGGCTGGACTTGATCTCCTAGCCTCAAGCGATCCTCCCGCCTCGGCCTTCCAAATCACTGGGATTATAGTTGTGAACCACCACGCCCTGCCTGAAGATTGCCTTTTGATGCTCAACATCAGTAATAATTAAATGTATGCAAATTAAATCAGCAGTACCAAGTTATTACCATAAGGTGACAAATAAGGGAAAGAATAATACTTGTGTATTAATTCTGACAAGGTTGAAGTGAAATTATAACCCAAACACACTGGAGGTAGCATTGTAAATTTTGATTATCCCTTTGAAAGGTAACATTATCATATGGAAAAAAAAATGTATTGCTATTCCTTAGGACTTTGACTAGGGAAATATTTTAAGCAATTACAAAAATTATCTGTGTTTCTGTGGTGTTATCTAAAATGGTGATTTACATTAAATTTACAACAATAAGACATAATAGTAATGCCTATGAACATTATGTAACCAATATTTTCTGCCTTTTAAAAAAGAACGTGGGAAGCCGAGGCAGGTGGATCGCTTGAGCTCAGGAGCTCAAGCCTAGCCTGGGCAATATGGAGAAACCCCATCTCTACAAAAAATACAAAAATTAGCCTGGCATAGTGGTGCATGCCCAGTAGTCCCAGGTACTGGGGACCTGAGGTGGGAGGATTGAGCCCCCGAGTTTGAGGCTGCAGTGAGCAGTGTTCACGCCACCACACCCCAGTCCTGGGCAAAAAAGTGAGACCCTGCTCAAAAAGAACAGCAGAATACAATGTATATGGACACTATGATTATTAAATATGTATGTATGTGTATGCTTATCCACACAGACTGGACTGGACAGACAGTTACATGAGGCAGGAGGTACAGGTACTGGATTGCCCATGCTGTTCCCACTTCTTTTTTTTTTTTTTTTTTTTTTTTTTTAAAGACATGGTCTCTCTCTGTTGCCCAGTCTGGAGTGCAGTGGCATGATCTTGGCTCACTGCAACCTCTGCCTCCCAGGTTCAAACAATTCTCCTGCCTCAGACTTCCCGGCTAACATATTTTTTGTATTTTTTGGTAGAGATGGGGTTTCACCATGTTGGTAAAGCTGGTCTTAAACTCCAAACCTCAAGTGATCCACCCACCTCAGCCTCCCAAAGTGCTGGGATTACAGGCTTGAGCCACTGTGCCCAGCCTGACCCACTTCTGATGTCTGTCTGTTTTCCCCACTGACTTGTCAGACACGGGGTCCAAGAGTATTTTATTTCTTTTTCGTCTTGCTATGTTACCCTATCTGTTTTTCCTCCACCAGCATCTATGCCTCCTCCTCTGACTTCTCCCAGAGGTACATCTTCTCGCAGGTGGGACTGGCCAGCAAGACGCGTCTTCTTCTTTTTTTTTGAGACGGAGTTTCTCTCTTGTTGCCCAGACTGGAGTGCAATGGCGTGATCTCAGCTCTCTGCAACCTCTGCCTCCTGGGTTCAAGCGATTCTCCTGCCTCAGCCTCCCAAGTAGCTGGGATTACAGGCATGCACCACCGTACGCAGCTAATTTTGTATTTTTAGTAGAGTTGGGGTTTCACCATGTTGGCCAGGCTGGTCTCAAACTCTTGACCTCAAGTGATCCACTCGTCTCGGCCTCCCAAAGTGCTGGATTACAGGCGTGAGCCACCGCGCCCGGCCGACGCTCCCTCTTATGTAGCCACGAGGAAGGTGGAAGACACAGCTAGATTTCTGGATTCCTCTCTTCAGGAGCCTAGATCTGCATTTCAGGGGCATGGAGAAAGAAGATATCTACCACCAGGACTGGGTAAGTGGGAGAAGCACCCTAGGGAATACTCTCCTTGGTCAGGGGCAACAAATGAAATGTACTCACAACATCTAGGAAAGATACTAAATGTATTATGAAGAAAAAAGAAACAATTTACCATTTAACTAGCATGTAATTTTTTTTGTGCCAAACAAAGCAACATGCTGCATGCCGATATGGGCATATTAAAGGATGCATATCAAATGTGCTGGTGAGGAAGGAAGTGCCTAATTGCGGAGATAACTATGAGGGAGATGAAAGAAGGAAAAGAAATTGGGAGAGAGGCTTTGGAAAGAGCAAAACAGTTGTGTGCTATGAACGAGGGACTCTCCAACTTCACTCCCTGCATCTAAGGCCAAAAGAAAACAACTTATTCCTTCTTGGCATAATTTAGGTTGTTTCTATTGCTTGCAACCAATGAAACTGATGGACTGCAAGATATGCTATGGCAAAATACGGCACATTGGCACTTGAAAGAGGAGCCAAAGCAGGCCATAGAAACTGGGTGACTTTGCCTTAAAAAGTAGGTGATTAAGATCCTCATTCCAGAGGGTCTTCTATGTATTAGTATACATACAAGAAAGGAATGTCCTCATCTGTGAAGACACGGAAATACCAAGAAGAATGTGGACAAACAGGCCTTGCTAAGTTTCTCCCGGTTTATTACCGTTAGATCAAACCCATCCTCTTTTGTCCAATCCTACTTCTGCATGACTGTCCCCTCTTCATCAAACCCAAGCACAAATATACAGTTTTCTGTGGGTCTTCATTTCTGAAGGCTCCTGTGATGTGTTAAACAAATTCAATAAATGTATATACTTTTCTCTTGTTAATCTGTCTTTTGTAATTGGTTTCTCAGTCATGAACCTGCAAAGTTAAAAAAGATAGTACCTTTTCTCCCCTACAAAACAAAACATAGTGGATGACATAATTTTCAATAATAATATTTAAATGCAGAAGAAAAACAGATTCTCTTTTGGCTCAAATCAGACTTCACATCAAAACTAGAAGGCTGAATACAGAAAGATGTCCTTTCAATACATCTCACAGTTAACGGAGTCCTGCCTTCTCTCAATAAAATAATCAAGGACACACAGCTCATGTTTATGTTACCCAACAATTGTTTGGTGACTTGTGGTTTATAGGGAAGAGCTCTCATTTTTGCTGACAGAATTACTAAGCCTTTGGGTGGCTGAGCAATAAATGATATTGTCTATCTGCTTTCTTTTTCCAAACTTAAACAGAAGGCAATCTGCCCCAATCCAAAGACAATTATTAATGACTCCCATGGCTGCGTGATTCACTTGTGATTTTTGCCCTGTCCAAATCTCATCTTTTCTGTTACTGACTCAATTGTTTTCTTTGCATTGATGCAAGATTAACAACAACAGGGCCTCCCTTCATCTTGTTCTATGTAATAGTGTTGCACAGCAAAGCATTGGGTTTGCTGGTTAGTGGTTCTTCTTTTTTTTTTTTTTTTTTTTTTTTTTTGTGAGACAAGGTCTTGCTCTGTCACCCAGGCTGCTGGAGTGCAGTGGCACAATCACAGCTCACTGCAACCTCGACCTCCTGAGCTCAAGTGATCCTCCTGCCTCAGCCTCCAAGTAGCTGGGACCATGCAGGCATGTCCCACCTCACCTGGCTAATTTTAAAAAAATTTTCATAGAGACAGGGTTTTGCCATGTTGGCCAAGCTGGTCATGAACTCCTGAGCTCAAGTGATCTGCCTGCCTCGGCCTCCCAAAGTGCTGGGATTACAGGCGTGAGCCACTGCACCTGGCCTGCTAGTTTTTGTGACACATATTAAGACATAATTGTGCTCATCTCTATGCCAGTTAGAATCATCTAGATGCTTTCACTTTGTGAAACTAGTTTGATTTTTTTAAGTTTTTTTGGGGGGTAAGTCCTCAGCAAATGACTCAAAAACGAGTCACGAAAATCCAAATAGTGGTTATCTTTAGTGGGTATGAAGGGAGTTAAGTGGAGGAGGTATATGAGGGGTTTCTGGGGTGCTAGAACCTTCTATGTCTTTACCTGGATGGTTACTACATGGGTGTACACTTTATAATTTATTAAGTTGCACATTTATTTTATGCACTTTTCAGTGTGTGGGTTATGTCCTACAATAATAAGCCTTTTAAAAACATTGCATGGCAAAATTCTGTTGTATTTTCCTTCCAAGAAAAGAATTGGGACAACAGTTCCAATGGTCAGAGAAAGGCCACACTTTGATTTTTCACTTATTCTTTATAAAATTACAGGTGGGGAAGCCAAGTAGGTGAGAAGCCTTATTTTATCTGGAAAATTAGACTTGTGGAGATAGCAGGGAAATAGCAAAAGGAAAAGAGAACAACTTGACAGACGTGAGTTGTGTTCATAGGTTGGGAAGGAGACTCTATCACTACTCCGTTATACCTTCAAAAAGTGTAGATTATTGTTTCTATTTCTCCCCTAACATAGAATCCTGTGGTTGTCTCATGTCTAAAACGTAAAAACCAACCAAGATTTTAGGCAGTCTTGTAAACAAGACCTATTTCTGTTAACCTCTCTAATTCACAATTGAGAAATGCTCATTTGTTTTTTTCTTTATGGAGTTCAGTATGATTATTCTCATGGAGAAAGAGCAAGACTATAGATTTTTTTGACTCCAGTTCACACATCTTCCATAAGGACCAAGGAAATATTTTCCATGGAACAAACACACCTACTCTCTACCCTCATGAAGGCAGATGCTTGAGAAGTTAGAAAACTATGTGTTTCACAAAACATTTAGCCTACAGTCATCAGAAAACAACAGCTATTCTTGTCTTCAGTCCTCAATATTATTAGTGAAGAGAGAGAGAGAGACAGAGACAGAGACAGAGAAGAGAGATGGGGCAGGCTAGACCCTGGCTATAGTGGTCGCCTAATTGGCAACAAAGCATCGTTGAAACTCTGAAGTTCACATCTCTGCATTGATTCACGAGGCACCAGAAACTCCCATTAATTTTGTCATAAACCGATTAGAGCTGGTACACAAACTCAAGGGTCTCAGTATTTAGAGAGACAATGAATAGCCACCCAAATCCCAATACGTTCCCCAGTAAAACCCACTGGGAAACTCTGAATAAGTTCACAACGAGGTGACATTTGAAATTCCCTGCAGTCTCATATTTATCCACATACATCCAGGAAATAAAAAAAAAAAAGAAAGAAGAAAAAGAAAAAAGAAGGGTAGCCAAGACAAAGTGCCAGCTACCCATTCCTGGGACCTCTTGCTTGTTCCTAAGAAATAGGCTCCAAGAATCTTGTAAAGGGCTGACCGTCCGGCCGCCGGAACAGGACAGAGGTCGCGGGGAGTCGCTTCACTTTCCCAAATCAAAAGAGGGGAAAGTAAGTGAGAAAATCTCCCGAGTTCAAACATTCCTTTAAACTCCACAACTTTAAATACTAACTGCGTTTCATGGCTGCCATCTTGAAAAACATTAGTTTGCCAAAGACGCCCTTTGATTCCCATTTGGGATGGAAACGCTTGCAGATAATCCATTGAAACAGGTCCGCACAAAGGCCTTTTCGCAACAATCATGGTGCTTGTGAAGGACAACATTTTTGTGCGCAAAATAAAACATTTTAATGCGCTACAATCCATTACACATATAGCCCTCCATTTCCTTTCAGTAATTATTCATTAGAAAACATTTAACGTCACTGTGGATTTCACACTAGGCAGTCCGGACACAAAGAACAAGAGATGGCCCATTTATAAGGGGCTGGGGCGTTCTTTTCTAATCTGAGAAACTCCAAGGAGGTGGGGCCCGCGAGACACAACAGGCAGGCTAAATTGTGCGGTTAACGGTCAAAGCCCCCCTGCCTACTTTGACACTCATTTAAAGATGACAGGGAACAATAGAGATTTGTTCTGTGCAACCCTTTCTTGTTATGCCGGCGACATCAGCTCCGCACATGAAACTGCCCGATATTTCATTCCACCTGCCACCTCCCTCCCGCCTCGGTCGACTCTCTCCTCTGCTACTTTGCTTGTCCCCACTTTAACACAAAGAGACAGGTAAAGAATATCGTCAAGAAGGGTCCATTCAGCATGTCAGCTTTCATAATACAATTGCCTGTCAGGTTCCCCACGAGCTATGAGGCGCTCAAATGCCTGGGTTTAGGCCAGAAATCCGAACCACGGTTAGGTTAGTGAGCGGGGACAGCTCCCCGGCCACCTCCTGCCCTCCCGTAGCGGAAGGCCATCTCCCGGGCACAGACACCGAAAACCATCTTTGCTAACAAGAGTTTGAAACACTTGCTATACATCAGCGAGGGACCACAGGCCAACTCCTGATGGGCTGGGTGTATATTCCTTGAATGCCTGTGTTTAAAAATTTTACTAAAAACTCATACCCAAAGGCCCAAAACCCTATTGGAAAGGTTGGGAAATATTTATCTTAGAGCCTTTTTTTTTTTTTTTTTTTTTTTTAACACCACAGGATGCTTCCCCCAGAAGTGGTGGAGGAAAAAAAAAAAAAAATCTTAAAGCCTCGCCAGATTATCTGATGTAACTAATCATAAAGGAATATGTACAGACCTAAAACGCTCATGGTATCGCTTTTACTCTGCATACTGCAGAGAACACACTATCTCGTGATGCTTGCAGAATGCACTGAGAGGAAACCAGTGAGTCAGAATAGGAACTGGCTTTCATAAAAAGCCTTTCGAAAACATTGCATGGCAAAATTCTGTTGTATTTTCCCTCAAAGAAAAGAATTAGGACAACAGTCCCGGAGACGAAGTCCACACTTTCATTTTCAACTTACTCTTTATAAAATTACAGTTAGGGAAGCTAAGTAGGTGAGAAGCCCTGTTTTATCTGGAAAATTAGTTAGCCTTGTGGAGATAGCAGGGAAATAGCAGAACCAAAAGAGATCAACTTGATTATACCGTCAAAAAGGGTAGATTATTGTTTCTATTTCTCCCCTAACACGGAATCCTGTGGTTGCCTTATGTCTAAGGCTTAAAAACCAACCAGGACTTCAGGTTTACAGTCTTGTATACCTTTTTACATTTCTAAAAAAATGACTTGTGTCACTGTGTTATTTTTCTTATGACAGCAATCCTGATATTTGCACATTACATTTGCTTCTGGTAATTGTCATGATGCGTTATTGAAAACTGCCTCTGGTCATCGAGCCAAACCTAAGAACATACTAGATATCAGTGGATGCTTAAGTAGAAAGCAATATTCATAATGATGCCAACTGTAGAAACTCAGTGAGTGGTCAAGGAAATTCAAAAAGCAAGAACAGTTTTGCTGCTCTGCATGAAAAATCAGCAAATGATGGCCCATGGCCCCAGTCCAGCCCACCGCCTGTTTTAGAATGACACTTGAGCTAAGAATGGCTTTTACATTTTTAAATGGTTGGGAGAAAAAAATCAAGAGAATAGTATTTCATGGCATGAGAAATGGTTGGGAGAAAAAAAATCAAGAGAATAGTATTTCATGGCATGAGAAATGGTTGGGAGAAAAAAAATCAAGAGAATAGTATTTCATGGCATGAGAAATGGCTGGGAGAAAAAAAATCAAGAGAATAGTATTTCATGGCATGAGAAATGGTTGGGAGAAAAAAAATCAAGAGAATAGTATTTCATGGCATGAGAAATGGTTGGGAGAAAAAAAATCAAGAGAATAGTATTTCATGGCATGAGAAAATTATATGAAATTCAAATTTCAGTATCCATAAATAAAGTTTTATTGGAACACAGACACATTTATGTTTGCCTATGGCTGCTTTTATGCTACAAAGAGGTGAGCCTAAGATACTTACTATCTGGCCCTTTACAGAAAAAGTTTGCCAACCCTGTTCAATGTCCCGTTTAGCACACATCCTTCTTTCCTTAGGAACCATATTTCTGAATCAATGGTATTTTAAAACTGCACACACCAAGAGAAGCAAAGTGGAATTTCAAATATAACCCTTTTCCAATCAATGTTTAATGGTTTGTAATACATCCCTCAAGTTGGGATACTTCTAAATTAAGACCTTTTTTTATTCCCAGCAGCTCTGTGTTCACAGCACCTAACAGTGTTGAAAAAGAATGCTATTTAAAACCCGAGTTGAGACATCACCTTTCCAAACCCATGACTGCTTCCTGGCTCACTAAACACGAACCAGAAATTAATGCTGCAAAGAGCAGGTAGTAGTTTCCTCATAGAACTGAATGCATTTTTGTTCAATGACCAGATGGAGAGGGCTGCTCTCTAGGAAGCCCCTCAGAAGGTGCTGTCCCCAGTTTGGAATAATATTCAGTGGCAGCTAAAATGTAAACCAAACACACATCAAGAAAGAAGCACGGTCTGATGCTTTGATTCAAGGGGTCTTAGCTATGGAATTTATAAGGATCAAATCTGAGAATGATAATATTGCAAGTTTTTATGTGTTTGATTTACCCAACACTGACAGCTCTACAGTTGAAATGAAGGATTATCTTTTTATCTAACAACAAGGGGACTGTTGGTGTTTTATTATCCAGCTGCAGCCTCTTAATCACCACTGAATGCGTATAATTATGAATATCAGCAAACAGAATAGTGCTTCTAAATTACCTTAGAGATTAGTCTCCTAGTAAAAATGAGAGCAGTTCATAGCCTTAAATTGGCCCACGGGAGTTAGAGGTGGAGGGGAAAAAAATGCCATTACATGACCATCTTTTTCAGCATAAATAGAGGGTTAAAAAACATTAAATGCAAAGCCTAGTCTTCTTGCACTACTTCCTACTGATAAATGTTAGAAAAAAAAATTGTTGGAAGTTTATAGCAGTTTTAAATAGAGGATATATATTCTGATCACATTTAAGCTTTCCCAGAGCCCATGAGGTTCTTTGAAGTTGTTTACCTAAAAGAATTTGTAGCTGATCTTGTAAAAAAACAAAAAAAAAACAAAAACAAACAGAAAGGGCTTTTCTTGCCTTAAGGAGAATCCTCCTGGTATCCACAGCTATCTTTCTCTGGAACAAAAGATATTTCATGGTCTGGGAGCCTTGCAAACACTCAGTAGAAATTGGATATTGACAATGGATTATGTTAAAACCTGTTTGGACCATCAAATGCAAATTTTTTTCAGGGTTTTGTTTTTTCATCTCAGTCTGAGTCCCTTGGGTTAGTAAGAAAATTAGTAGACTTCACACAGTAGACAGCTTTCAACATGGCTTTTAAATTATTCATCACCCAAAAAGGGGTGTTTAAATAATATTTGGTTAAAAGTGGTTGTGACTTGAGGTACATTTAGAAACCACTTAAAGCTAAGGCTGTGGCCAGGTGTGGTGGCTCACGCCTGTAATCCGAGCACTTTGAGAGGCCAGGACGGGCAGATCACTTGAGGTCAGGAGTTTAAGATCAGCCTGGCCAACATGATGAAACCCTATCTCTACTAAAAATACCAGAAAAAAAAAAAATTTGCTGGGCGTGGCAGCACACACCTGTAATCCCAGCTACTTGGGAGGCTGAGGCAGGAGTCAGAGGTTGCAGTGAGCCAAGATCAGGCCACTGCACTCCAGCCTGGGTGACAGAGACTTCATCTCCCAAAAAAAAAAAGAAAAAGAAAAACCAAAAAACAAACAAAGAAAAACCAAACCAAACAAAACAAAACAAAAACAAACCAAAAAAACAAAAACCTAAGGCTGTGGTTCTCAAACCTCAGCATGCAGGAATTTTACATGCAGGATGCAAACTTTAGCATCCTGGTGGATCTAGAAAACCCACAAGAGGAGGGCTCAGGAAGCTGCATGCTCGACAGGTATCGTAGATAATTTCTATAAGGGTATATCCCAGGCCCATAGCTATAAGCCCTTAAATTGTGGTCCATGGATGCAGTTCGAGCATCCACAGAACAAAACCTCAGGTCCTGCTTGAGTCAGAATCTGCATTTCAACAAGTTCCCTGAGGTGATTCAGGTGCACTTTGCTGTTTAAATTACATGGGTGTGAATATGACCCAGTCGCACGTTTCCCCAGTGATCTAGGGAAAATTTAAAGATTAAGTTAAGGAAGATTGCACGTAAGGAGAATTGTTATTCCCCTGAAGTCGTGTGAATACAGAAACATTCATATTGAAGACCACCAGAGACAGAAAACTCCACCAAACACTGTGGGGTAGAAAAGGGGGCTCACAGAGGAGGGAGGAAGGAACCAAGACCACCAGGATAGACTTCTGCCAGCTCCGGCTACCAGGAACTCAGGGCCTGTTGACTGTGCGGATGGCAAGGCCAGCTTTTCCTTCTTTTCCCACAACTAGACCTTATTAGAATTTTTCCAACCCCTTTTCCTCCATACCAAATGCAAGTCAGGCTATTTCTCATTTGTAATACTAACCTTGCCAAGGAGGACAGGCCCCCTGTTCTCTTCTCTTCCTTCTGGAGAGTTGGGCCAAAAAGGTCTAATCTCAAATGTGTAAAAGTAAAGGCTAGGCAGACACTGAAACCAAAAAGATACTGCTAGTCCCTAAGATTCCTCTTGTTGAAGAAACATATTTTTTTCTGTCCCAATTTTTAAATAAAAAGCAAAATATACAAGCTCTTTAGCCAGAAACTGGCTATGTTTACTGGAAACATTCATTCCCTAAAGGGCAGACATCTTGGGCACTTATCCTGGGCATGTGGTAACCCGGGAATTGCAGGCTGGGATTTCTTTTCTTTTCTTTTTTTTTTTTTTTTAGACAGAGTCTCGCTCTGTCACCCAGGCTGGAGTGCAGTGGCGTGATCTCGGCTCACTGCAATCTCCACCTCCTGGGTTAAAGCGATTCTCCTGCCTCAGCCTCCTGAGTAGCTCGGACTACAGGCGCGTGCCACCACACTCAGCTAATCTTTTGTATTTTTTCTTTTCTTTTTTTTTTGTAGAGACAAGAGATTCGACTGTGTTAGCCAGGATGGTCTCGATCTCCTGACTTCGTGATCTGCCCGCCTCAGCCTCCCAAAGTGCTGGGATTACAGGCTTGAGCCACTGTGCCTGGCTTCAGGCTGGGATTTTTATAGCTTATTATGGCAAGGGAGGAGACGGAGAGTAAAAGAAGAAGGAAGAGCATACACAGTCACCCCTTGTGTGACAAATATGCAAGAAATAAAGATAAATGTGTACAATTCTTACAATTTTACTTTTCTGAATTTTGCTATTGCACTGAATGATTTGTGATAAGACAGATGGGGATGAAAAATATACTTATTAAATAAACAGCTATTAAAAGCCCCTAAAACTCTTTAAAATGGGATCTTTTTGTTTGATTACAGAAGAATTACACCTTTATTTTAGACATTCTGGAAAAAATGCAACAAAGAGAATAAAAATCATTCATAATCCCACTGCTCAGAAATTACCACTGCTGGCCAGGCGTGGTGGCTAACGCCTGAATCCCAGCAATTTGGGGGCTGAGGCGGGCAGATCACCTGAGGTCAGGAGTTTTGAGAGACCAGCCTGGCCGACATGGTGAAACCCCGTTTCTACTAAAAATAAAAAAAAATTAGCCAAGTGTGGTGGTGGGTGCCTGTAATACCAGCTACTTAGGAGGCTGAGGCAGGAGAAGCACTTGAACCTGGGAGGCGGGGGTTGCAGTGAGCCGAGATGGTGCCACTGCACTCCAGCCTGGGTGACAGAGCAAGACTGCTTATTGTGGAATATTCCTTCTAGTTCTCCCCACCCCTGTGCATGTGTGTGGGTGTATAAATAATACTCGGATAACATTTTATATATTGTTTTAGATCATTTTAAAAATAACGTGATTCATCTTTATAAATTAAGAACGACACACCTAAATATATTTCAAATATCACATCATTTAGATTTGAAACATCTAGAATTACAAGTTTAGGAATCAAAATTCAAGCAACAGTTTATTTCCCGGTAAGTTCTATAACCACAATTTTTTTTTTTTTTTTTTTTTTTTTTGAGACGGAGTCTCGCTCTGTCACCCAGGCTGGAGTGCAATGGCGCAATATCGGCTCACTGCAACCTCCGCCTCCCGGGTTCAAGCGATTTTCCTGCGTCAGCCTCCTGAGTAGCTGGGATTACAGGTGTGTACCACCATACCCGGCTAATTTTTGTCTTTAGTAGTGATGGAGTTTCACCGTGTTGGCCAGGCTGGTCTCAAACTCCTGACCTCAGGTGATCCATCCACTTCGGCCTCCCAAAATGCTGGGATTACAGGCATGAGCCACTGTGCCCAGCCTCACAATAATATTGTTTATGAGTATTTGGGGCAAGTACCCTTGATTATAGTATTAATATTAAGGACTAAAATTATTTTCATCAACAAATGTTACCACTTGAAGACTCTACTAAAACTGGTATTATATTGGGTGGGGGCATGAGAACACCTTTTGAGGTAATAGTGGGGCTGTGTCTCAATAGGGATTTGGGTCACACAGGTATATACCTTCATCAAAACTTACCAAATGAAATATCCAAGGTTAGTGCTTTAGATTGTATATACTATTTACCTCGAAAGAAAAAACACTGAACACGAGCTAATGGCAGGTGTGCAAAGCATTTAGGGGAAGTATGCTGATGTCTGCAACTTTCTTTGAAATCTATCCCCCCAAAATAAGATACATTAGTGGTTACAGGGATAGATAGATGAAAAATAAGCATAAGTAATAGGTTAATGGTAGAATCTAGGTAGTGGGTGTTTTCTGTACAATTTCTTCTTTTCTGTATGTTTAACACACTTCATCATACATGTCGGGGAGAAAAATAATCTGTTAGATCTATGCTAAAAGGCTCAAGAGATGTCTATAACGAGACACGCAAGATGTAGCAAAAGTGTATGTAATAAGGATTCTAGTTTCGTAGAATAAACAATGATGAAAATACATTCATGTATGTATGTGGGTAGCTACCCAAATAGCCCCATATGTTTCTATGACCATGGAGACAATTACATAAAGACCCTGGGGGAAGGAGGTGGAGAGTGGGAGGTGAGAGATGAGGGCTGAATATGCTCATGCACACGAAGAAATGCAAGATGCATGGGCCTCAGCATGCCGTTGTTAGCCAGGGCTGGCAGAATTTCAAATCATTGTCATTTTCTTACAATTTCCTATACCGTTTAAAAGATCCTTTCTACAATGGTCATTTATCATTTATGTAATTAAAAAGCTATTTTTATGGAAAAAAATAAAAGTGGTATTATGAACAGAGCCAGGCTTATGTGACGACAAGGAATCCATTCCCCAAAAGAGAAAAAAGGCTTCATCTTCTGGACTGTATTGAGAGAAACTTCTTGTCCCACTCACTAGTAAAAGTTACATTCTGAAGCAAAGAGAGCAAAGCATATCTTATGGAATCCTGAATGTCTAGAAAATAGCGTGGAAGGGAAAATAGAGTTTCCTTTTCTACATATGACAGCGATGAGTAAAAGCATGCAGTAATTTGAAGCAGCATCTCCAACCACCGTGGAATCTTCCACATTAGATGGTGCTTTTACCAAGCAGAGACTAAATGAAATAATTTTGTGGCATCTGCAAAAACTACTATTAGAAACATTTACTCCAGAATCCGTGTTTTCGGCTTAAGAAGCAAATGATGACACTGGAAATTTGAGTGACTCTAACAGGGACATAAATGTGATTGCAATCATCCTAGCCATGGGGGCTTTCTTCTTATTTTTCAAGTGAACCCAGCAGCTGAACAACCAATCAGCAAATATTTTCTGAGCATCTACTGTGTGCAAGGCATTATAGAAGGTACCTGGTCCCCAGGAATTTACAATCTCTTTAGAAATATAACGCAATTACAGGAGCAGTGAACAAGGCACCAGTTCTGGACACAATGTCTAATCTTTTAGATGGCTTTTAAACAGATACCAATAAAAAGATGGTTAATTAGGAAGTTACCTTAAAATATTGTCATAAGTGTCTGCGGTGAAACTGTGTGATTTGGCTTTTTCCCCCCACGGTTTTGATATAAAATGTTTATTTTGTTAGTCAAAAGATAAGGTAAGATAGTAGAGGCTGATGGGAGGAAAGTGTTCATATTTTTACCTGGCATAAGAGTTTTTACGGTAATAATATAAAAACATCCTGGCCAGGTTTAAATTCAAGCTTTGATGTGAAAATCAGTGATAGTAAGATCAGTTGCAAAATTAAAAATAAAGGTCTCTGAAATAAGATCCAGGAAGCAATTTATCTAACCCAGTTATGTGCTGAACCCAACATATTACTTGTACACCACTTCACCCATCTTCTAGTGAACCTGCCTACTAATGGAACATGAGAATGAGTCTATTCAAGGCTTAATGAGCTTAATTAATTAGCACTTATGACACTCAGGGTAAAAATAATTACTGATGGTGGTTGTTCCATAAATCTACAGATGTAACAAAATGGCATGTAACTGTATATGCACATTGTACCAGCATTATTTGTCCTGGTTTAGATATTGTGCTCTAATTATGTAAGATGTAACGATTGAGGGATATTTGAGACCTCTCTGTATTATTTTTGTTACTTCTTGTGAGTCTATCATTATTTTAAAATAAAAATCTTTTTTAAATTACCTATATCACTTTGATTCTTTGATGTGTTATAAAGTCAGGAAAACATATTTGAACCATGGAAAAGTGCTCATCTGAAACAGTAGAAGCCACCTTCTATAAATATTGAATGAACATGGATATAAGCCATGAGTCTCTTCCTCATTATCTGACAGGGAGCTTTATTAGTTCGTTTTCACGCTGCTAATAAAGACATACTTGAGACTGGGCAATTTACAAAGGAAAGAGGTTCCATGCACTCACAGTTCCACGTGGCTGGGGAGGCCTTACAACCTCGGTGGAAGGTGAAAGCCATGCCTCACATGGCGGCAGAGAAGAGAATGAGAGCCAAGCGAAGGGGGTTTCCCCTTATAAGACCATCAGATCTCATGAGACTTATTCACTACCATGAGAACAGTATGGGGGAAACTGCCCCCATGATTCGATAATCTCCCACCGGGTCCCTCCCACAACACGAGGGAATTATGGGAGCTACAATTCAAGATGAGATTTGGGTGGGGACACAGCCAAACCATATCAGGAGTTTATGGATTCCCTACAACCCAACTAACTTGGAGAGAAGAGGCAACTGCCCAGATGATTTGCATAAAGTGAGCTTTTGAATGAATCACCTGCGAACTAAATATGCTACCATGTGGACAATGACAATCAACGGCACGAAGCAAATGCTCGCTAAAATCAGCATTGTTATTCATGGTGCTTCAGTTCTTCATTTTGCTTTGTTCATCAAACTCAGCTCCTTCTGAGGTCATTTCTGAATGGTTCCATCTCTAATATTTAATATAATATAAAATAATATAATAATAATATTAACTTTTTTTTTTTTTCAAGACAGAGTCTTGCTCTGTCGCCCAGGCTGGAGTGCAGTGGCGTGATCTCCGCTCACTGCAAGCTCTGCCTCCCGGGTTCACGCCATTCTCCTGCCTCAGCCTCCCGAGTAGCTGGGACTATAGGCACCCCCTACCACGCCCGGCTAATTTTTTTGTATTTTTAGTAGAGACGGGGTTTCACCGTGTTAGCCAGGATGGTCTCGATCTCCTGACCTCGTGATCTGCCTGCCTCGGCCTCCCAAAGTGCTGGGATTACAGGCATGAGCCACCGCACCCGGCCTCTTTTTTTTTTTTTTTTTTGAGACAGGGTTTCAGACTGTCATCCAGGCTGAGTGCATGGCATGATCACAGTTCACTGCAGCCTTGATCACCCTAGCTCAAGTGATCCTCCCACTTTAGCCTCTGGAGTAGCTGGGACCACAGGCATGTGCCACCATATCTAGCTACTTTTTAATTTTTTTGGTGGGGGGGTCACACTATGTTGCTCATGCTGGTCTCAAGCTCCTAGTCTCAAGGGATCCTCCCACCTTGGCCTTCCAAAGTGCTAGGATTATAGGCACAAGCCACCATGCCCAGCCCAGTTTGTTCTTTTTTAATCTGGAGTAAACTCTATCCAAATAATGTTTTACCAAAGGAATCTGGGAATTAATTCATAAGAAGGAAGAGCTTCCTCCATTTTTCAAAAAAGTGTAACTATGTATAAGTCAATCTGCATGGTTACTTCTACGTGCATTTTGTAAAGCCATGACAATTTAAAAAAAGGCACATGCGACCTTGAGGACAGACCTATCTGTTGTCTTTCACTGCAAGACCTACAGCAAATACTCCTCTCTGTCCATCAACTAAATTATTTTCTCCCAATGAATCATGCTTCCTAGAGTTACCACTTTGAGATATCATGCAAGAATGGCATCTAAAACCAGGACTTTGTTATGGGCATTCAGATACATTTTCGGTCAAGGACAGTGCCATTTTGAGTTACCAGTTGCCAAGGTGACAGTATTCAGTGCTATAGAAATGGGTAATTGACTGAATGGATCAATGACAAGCTGTAGCTAGGGTTTCTTCATGGTGCCTGAGGCTTCTGTGAACAGCTACGAAATTATTCTAACTACATCCATAAATGTTTCTGTAAGCTTTTTGGCTGTCTAGGCAAGAAAAGAAACAATCCTTCAGCAGATAATGTTTTCTAAACAGAGAACACATGAGATGATTATGCTATCGAAACCCAGAAAACCTGTCCTTGGAAGTCTTTATGCTTAGAATTAACTCCTGGAAAGAGGCAATAGGTTTGACACTCAAGTTCTGTCTTCCATCTTCCCAGGAGAGCTTTACCATTGTCTACCTGATAATAAAAACAGCTGTCTTAGCTTCTTAAAATGATCATTACCTGGGACAAGTTGGGCTTATCGCATTTAAAAGGAAACACAAGGTATCTAGGGTAATGAAGAAAATGTACCAATAGTCTTACATGTAAGGCCAATTATTACCTACAATTTCCTTCAACATGAGGTCACCATCTATTATTTAAGACCCAACCATGCTAACACAGTAGCCACTAGCCACATGTGGCTATTTAAATTAATGAAAATTCAGTCAAATTTACAATTCAGTTCCCCAGGAACCAGCCACAGTTTAACCACTCAGTAGTCACACATAGCCAAGAGCTCTTGCATTAGGCAGTGCTAACAGAGACCATTTCTGTCTTTATTGCACAGCACGCTGTTCTAGACCAATGTGAAATGAATCGGTAACTCTCCCATGCTTTGGTTCTAAATCATCGTACTTGCCCCCAGCAACAGAAGGGAGATATCTACATGATCATCTTAACATAGAATTTTTCATCAAATAAATTCAGAATCTTATTCACACGCCCAGTTCTCTCTCCAGGCCTAGCAGAGGCCCAGCATTATAGCCATTTGGAAAGTTCTTGGTAGAAAAGAGGTCACCAGGTGTAACCACCTTCTAGTGTTCAAGTCACATTACCTTGGATTCCATCACGCACAGAGGGAGAGCAGGTTGTTAACAACTATTCCTCTTGAGCCATTCAAAAGTTGCTTCCCACTGACTTATGATTCTGTGATGCCTGACATCCAGCAACAAGGTATGAGGCGATTCTAGCTTGCGGGGTGGAGCTAAGTTAATAATTTACGGTGGGAGGCAGAAACTGCATCTTATGGCCGTCTACATGTAGGCACACCGGGCTGCTCCAGGGAGATAAGAACTGGAAACCCAACCTCCCTTGAGTTTACGTTACAGACACTGCTGATCTTTGATTAGTTGCTTATGTTCCTGACCAGTCACTGACTATTGAAATAATGGCAGGACCCTCGGTGAGCTATGCTTAAAAAAAAAGAAAAAAAGAAAAAAAAAAGAAAAGAAAATTCTCCCAATCTCTTAGCCTAGGATCCAGCTCCAGGGAACTCCTGCTGGAAGTACCTGTTGGCTCTGTTTGAAAAACTTTACAGCCTTAAATTTCATGGAATCAAGTTGATTGGGTAACTTCAAGGTTTCATAATACGGAGACTCAGGACTTTACTTTCATTTTATTATTATTTTCAGATGCTGAAGTGATGCAGGGGCACTATCATCTCATAAAAAATCACAAGGTTGCTGATATTGGAGGCTGTTCAGTTACAGATGGGTTTACCATGAAGCTCAGAGTTCACCCCTTCCTGGTCTGGGCCTCATCGTATAAAGTTCTATTCTTGTTCTTTCAGACAACCCCACCCATCACCCACCACATTGTATGCCTTGGGCCCCCAAACTTGAGCCTGCTGCTGCAACAGGATCATGGCTAAGGGTATGGACAGTGGATTCAGTGCTGGGTTCATTCGAACCTAAACAGCACCCCCTGTTGGATGGAGGACTGTGGGTCCAGCGACTGACCTCAGGATTTCATTTATTAATCCCATTTCATGTATCTCTCTCTCTGTATATATATCCTATTGGAGAACCCCTAACACAAGCCCTGACAAGAGCAGAAATATGCTAATAATTCTTTGGACACTCTAATTTTTGATCAATTGACTTTTTTAAAGAAATGATTCCATTTTTGTAACTGAATAGGTAATATAACATATCCTTGATTTGGTTACAAAGGGACAACCAGAAATAGTATACTAAAAATGTTTTTTAAAAATATATAATTTTATAGACATATATTTTAGTTTTTAAATATAATTTATTTTTTTCTTGAGATGGAGCCTTGCTCTGTTGCCCAGGCTGGAGCACAATGGCAGGATCTCAGTTCACTGCAACCTCCGCCCCCCAGGTTCAAGTGATTCTCCTGCCTCAGCCTCCTGAGTAGCTGGGATTACAAGGCACCCGCCACAACGCCCAGCTAACTTTTGTATTTTTAGTAGAGATAAGGTTTCACCATGTTGACCAGGCTGGTCTCGAACTCCTGACTTCAAGTGATCCACCTGCCTCAGCCTCCCAAAGTGCTGGAATTACAGGTGTGGGCCATCGCGCCTGGCCTATATGATTCTTCATACATTTTTGCATATCTGAAATATATTTTTAATTGAAATATAAATCACGTATAACATTCACTTATTTATACAGTTCATTGTTTTTTAAGTACAGTTGTACCTCAGTATCTGTGGGGGATTGGTTCCAGGACCTTCAAAAATCCATGGATGCTCAATTGCCTGATATAAAATGGCATAGTATTTGCATATAACCTATGCACATCCTCCTGTACACTTTAAATCATTGTCAGATTACTTATAATACCTAGTAGAATGTAAATGCCATGTAAATAGTTGTTATACTACATTGTCTAGGCAACAATGACAAAAAAGTGTCTGTACATCTTCATACAGATGAAAATTTTTCCCTGAATACTTTTGATCCAAGGTTGGTTGAATTCATGGAATTGGAACCCATAAATATGGAGGGACTATTATAGATTCACAATGTTGTGCAATCATCATCACTATTTAATTCAAGAACATTTTCATGACCCCCAAAAGAAATCCTATATCCATTATCTATGATCTCCCTTTTCCCCACCCTAGCACCTTGAAACCACTAATCTGCTGTCTCTATACATTTGGCCTATCATGGACATTTCATATGAACACAGTCATACAATATGTGACCTTTCATGACTGGCTTCTTTCACTTAGCATTGTGTCTTCAAGTTTCATCCATGTTTTAGCATGAACCAGTACACTTCATTTTTATTGCCACATAATGCCTCTGGTATGGATATACCACATTTTGTTTATCCATCAGTTGATGCACATTTGGGTTTTTTCCACTTTTTGGCTATTGCAAATAATGCTATCAACATTCAGGTGCAAATTTTTGTGTGGACTTGTTTTCATTTCTCTTGGGTATATACCTAGGAGTGGAATTGCTGGGTTACGTGTTAACTCTATGTTTAACTTTTTAAGGACCTGCCAAACTGTTTTCTAAACTGGCCACATCATTTTACATTCCCACCAAGAATGTATGAGGTTTCCATTTTCTCCGAATTCTTGCCAACACCTGTTATTGTTGTTCACCTTTTTTATTCTAGCCAAGCTAGTTGATGTGCAGTGGTATCTCATTGTGGTTTTGATTTACATTTCACTGATGACTAACGATGCTAAGCATCTTTTCATGTGTATTTGCCATTTCTATACCTTTTTTGGAGAACTGTCTATGCAAATCCTTCGCCCATTTTCAAGATGGGTTCTTTGTCTTTTTGTTGTTGAGTTGTAGAAGCTCCTTATATATTCTGGATACTAGAACTTTATCTGACACTGTATATGATTTGCAAATATTTTCTCATTCTGTAGGTTGTCTTTTCACTTTCTTGATAGTATCCTTTGAAACACAAAAGACTTAAACTTTGATGAAGCCTAATTTATCTATTTTTTTACCTTTGGTTTCTTGTGTTTTAAGTATAATGTCTAAGAAACCATTGCATAATTCAAGGTCACAAAGATGTACACCTGTGTTTTCTTCTAATAGTTTTATAGTTAATTCATTTTGAGTAAGTTTTTGTGTATTATGTGAAGGAGACATCTAACTTTATAACATTGCATGTGGCATGTCGCTCCAGCATCATTTGTTGAAAAATTATTCTTTCCCCCATTGAGTCATCTTGGCTCCCTTGTCGAAAATCAATTGACCATAAACATAGTAGTTTACACCTGAACTTTTAATTCTATTCCATTGATCTACATGTCTGTCTTTATGGCCGTACCTCACAGTCTTTGTAGCTTTGTAGTCAGTTTTAAAATCAGGAAATGTAAAACATCCAATTTCATTTCCCTTTTTAAAGATAGTTTTGGCCATTCTGGGTCCCTTGCATTTCCAAAAATTTTAGAGTTAGTCTATCAATTTCTGCAAATAAGCCAGATAGTATTTTGATAGGGATGGCATTGAATATGTAGGTCAATTTGGGGAGTATTGACATTCTAATGATATTAAGTCTTCCAATCTGTGAGCATAGGATATCTTTCCATTTATTTAGGTCTTCTTCAATTTCTTTCAATGACACTTTATAGTTTTCAGCGTTCAAGTCTTACACTTCTTTTGCTAACTTTATTCCTAAGTATTTTATTCTTCTTGATGTTTTTGTAAGATTTATTTCATTTTCAGATTGTTCATTGCCAGCATACAAAAATATAGTTGACTTTTGTGTATTGATCTTGTATCCTGCAACCTTGCTGAAATCACTTATTAGCTGTAACAGTTTTCTTGGTGTCATATTTTTGAGTTTAAAAAGAGGTCAGGTCAACATCAACTGTTATATCATGTGGATAGTATGTGCCCTTAATGTGATGTGATGAAAATAACACCCTGCCTCTGTGGTCTTCCCAATAACCCCTAACACCAATATAATGATGAGAAAAATATCAGACAAATTTAAATATTGGGGCAACCTACAAAATGCCTGCTTTGTACTCCTCAAAATTGTCAAGGTCATCCTTAACAAGGAAAGTCTGAGAAACTGTCACAGCCAAGAGAAGCCAAAGGAGACATGATGACTAAATGGAATGTACCTTGTATGGGATCATGGAATAGAAAAAGGACATCAGGTAAAAACTAAAGAAATAGCTTATGCAATACACCTAGTGCAATGCCTTGTACATTGTGCAATGAACAGAAGTCCCCAGCGAGTCAGCTAGGACAGAGACTAGCTCCCATCCCACTCCTGTTTCCCAGACTCCCTCTTGAAAAGTGACCACTTCAATAACGTCTTCTATGTTCTTTCAGTCATTCCATTCATCAATATGTATAAGTACATGTATTGCTTAAAACACATGCAAGTGGGAGCATGTAATATACACACACTTAGTCCTTGCTTTTGAATTTTTTCCTTACTCTCTCATTGTGATCGTTCGATTCTGTTAAAGTATCTCCAGTGGCATATGGGTTGGGGGTTGGGGATAGCAGGAATACCTAGGTGTCTGTAGAAAATTTACAAATAATAATAAAACAATTAAGTCAGCCTGCTTTTTATTATCACCAAAAATTAGCAATTCTAAGCAATGTCAGTGATAAAAATATTCCTCCCTAAAAAGAATTTTTTTGTTGACCCAAGTATTAAATGATTGCTGTGGTTTCTGTTGAGTTATAATAATGGACATAGAAAATTCACATGATTTCGTTTTGTTGATTATCCCTTAAATTGCATTCTACACAGAAGTTTATCTGGAGAATTTCTAGTTATGCTAACATCCCCTGGCACATACAAACTTACCTATGTGTGTTCACTTTCTGAGCAAGATCTTATCAAATTCACATTGTTTGAGCTTACTTCAGGCACTATTTGTGTTTCTAGTCCCTGTGATACTACATATTTTCGACTTTATACACTAGACTAGAAATAAATCATGATAGCTAAATGCAATTTTTTTTCTTTTTCAGAGTTAATTTTTGCTTATGTTATTATTATTTTTTAAAGAGATGGGATCTTGCTTTGTGGCTCAGACTGGTCTTGAACTCCTGGCTTCAAGTGATCCTCCCCACCTTGGCCTCCCAACGTGCTGGGATAACAAGTATGAGCCATTGTGCCTGGCCCTTATGTGATGTTTTAAATGAGGTTAATCAGTCATAAAAATATTTGGGAAGAGGCAGAATTAGCCTAACCACCAAGCTTTGAAATTATCTCTGGGCCAGGTACAGTGGCTCACACCTATAATCTCAGCACTTTCAGAGGCCGAGGTGGGAGGATCACTTGAAGCCAGGAGTTCGAGACCAGCATGGGCAACACAGAGAGGCCCTGTCTCTACAAAAAATTTAAAAATTAGCCAGACATGGTGGTGTGCACCTGTGGTCCCAAATACTTGGAAGGCTGAGGTGGGAGGATCACTTGAACACAGGAGATCAAGGCTGCAGTGAGCCATGTTCACACCACTGCACTCCAGCCTGTGTGACAGAGCATGACGCTGTCTCAAAAAAAAAAAAAAAAAAAGTCTCCTGAAGATGCTCACACAGAAATTGTACAGAAAACCATAAACCACGCAACAGAAAAATAAAAGAAAATGAATATATACATTAAAAAAAATCAGGACTGGATGCAGTGGCTCATGCCTGTAATCCCAACACTTCGGGAGGCCAAGGTGGGCAGATCACTTGAGGTCAGGAGTTCAAGACCAGCCTGGACAACATGGTGAAACCCCATCTCTACTAAAAATACAAAAATTAGCTGAGCGTGGTGGCGCATGCCTGTAGTCCTAGCTACTTGGGAGGCTGAGGCAGGAGAACTGCTTGAACCCAGGAGGTGGAGGTTGCAGTGAGCCAAGAGAGTGCCACTGCACTCCAGCCTGGGTGACAGAGTCATCCAGATGGAGATTTTTTGAGACTCTGTCTCAAAAAAAAAAAAAAAAGAATCAAATTTTAAAGCAGTGTGGCAGAAAAACAACAAAACATACTGATTTTACTGAAAGAAATGAAATAAATATTTAAATGCTTTGATCATTTCTGAAACATGTTCTGAAACAAAGAACAAAATAATATTAATGCCATGAAAGACTGAACATACAGATTATCAATGACCAGGCCATATATAAAACCTGAAATCTGACCCACAGCCTGCAGCAGCCTACCCAGAAAGCCAGCCTGTTTTCTACAGTAACCAGTCCAGGAAGCCAGCAGACTACACATCACACTTGTAAGAAATCAGACCACTAACTCTAGTAATAACCCAGGGAGTCAAACAATAAGCCTTAGAACAATCAGCCCAAGGTAGCCAGTACTTGATTCATCACTGACAACTTCCTTAAGTTTTATCCCTGCTTTCTACTTAGGACCAACTAGAGTAGCCCAAATATGCACCCCTAACCCATCACAGAGGATGCTCTGCTTCTGGCTAGCCCACCTGCTGCTTTCTCCCGCAAACAGCCTCCAATCAGGGCAAACCTGAAGTCATCCTCCTCTTCCCCAATATGAAACTTTCCTACTCTTCTGCCTGCCATTGAGTCTCTGCCACAAATGCATGTGATGGTGGCTGACTCCCTTGCTATAGCAAACTCTGAATATTTGCTTATTTTCATTTTGTTGGTCTTCATTTATTTCCACGATTGCTATCGTTCAGCCATTTTATCTGATTTTTTGCAGAAATTCTTAGCAAATATAATAGAAATGTATGATGAATTCTGTAGTGAAGTGGAAAATTTTCAACAATGGAGGCATGTGAAAACTGCAAGAATTAATCTGAAGAAACAGACATAGACAATATTACCATTTCTGGAATGTGCTGTGAAAAGGATTTTTTTTTTTTTTTTGAGATGGAACGCTGAAATCTGGCTTTTTTTTTTTTTTTTTCGAGATGGAGTCTCGCTCTGTCACCCAGGCTAGAGTGCAAGTGGCACAATCTTGGCTCACTGCAACCTCCGCCTCCCAGATTCAAGCAATTCTCCTGCCTCAGCCTCCTGAGTAGCTGGGATTACAGGTGCCCGCCACCACATATGGCTAATTTTTTGTATTTTTGGTAGAGATGGAATTTTGCCACGTTGTCCAGGCTGGTCTCGAACTCCTGACCTCAAGTGATCTGCCCACCTCAGCCTCCCAAAGTGCGGGGATTACTGGCATGAGCCACTGAGCCTGGCCATGAAAAGGAATTTTTATGAATCTCTACCAACCTTATCCTTAAGACTTTCCCCAACCATTTATATATCTCTTGCTTTCTATCTATTGAACATGCATATGCAAAAAGGATCAATATTGATAAAAATCATAGACAGATTTGCCGGAGTTGAAAACAGAAACTAATGACAAATATGTAGAATAACCTTCTAATCTTTTGTCAAAAAATACATGAATGTAATTTAAAAAGACTAATCCATTACTACTTCTCCCATTTTGTACTGCAATATTTAATTTTGAATTTGTTTCTTTTACTGTATGATTTTATATATCCAAAGTTCAATGAAATATCTCACTGTCTCTACTTCTTTTCTGGCTATTAGTGTTACTTGTTTCATTTCATGACTATTGCTGAAAATAATTTTGTTGTAGAGAACAGGGGGGTGTTAAAAATGACCTCTTGCTAGGCACCTGGCTCATGCCTGTAATCTCAGCAGTTTGGGAGGCCAAGGCAGGTGGATCACCTAAGGTCAGGAGTTCGAGACCAGCCTGGCCAACATGGTGAAACCCTATCTCTATTAAAAATACAAAAATTAGCCGGGCGCCTGTAATCCCAGCTACTCGGGAGGCTGAGGCAGGAGAATCGCTTGAACCGGGATTGCAGAGGTTGCAGTGAGCTGAGAATCATGCCACTCACTGCACTCCAGCCTGGGCAACAGAGCAAGATTCCATCTAAAATAAATAAATTAAAAAAATGAACTCTTACAGGTGTGTGATACTGTAGGTATGCCACCGTATTGCCTAATGTACTTTTAAATGGATATTGTATGGATTCTCCATAGAAGATTGAACTAGGTCCCAGAGGTTAGTGTTTAAATTGTTTCAAGTTTTGCTATTAATACTATAAACAATGCTGTAATCTGACTCTAAGACATACATATATGGAAAACAGTAGGATATGGAGTTCCTATAAGTTGAATTACTGAGTCGAGGTTTACATGACATTTATTATTTTGCTAAACACTGTCATAATGCCTTACATCAAAGATGAATGAATTGACATTCCCAGCAGTGCACAAAGATACTTGTCTTCTATACTCTGGCTATCACTTTGTATTATCAAGTTTTGATTGTTGCCTATTTCAGGATTTTCATAATGGTAAGGAAGGCTGATCCTCTTTTCCTATGCTTCAAAGCCATCTGAATTTATCTTTAAGGCTTCCTCTCCCTGCTTTTGTCTTCTCTCTTCTTCCCAACATTTTTGGATTGTTGGTCCTTTTCTAATTTATTTGCAAGAGCTCTTTATATCTTAAGGCAATTAGTCGTTTGTCATGTGCTGCAAATAATCATCTCAGTTTGTTTCTTGCCCTTCAACATTATTTAGGATTTTTCAAAATTTGTTTTCAATTTGTACATAAATTTTGTCAGAAGTTTTTTCTTAATGGTTTCTAGGTTAGAATTTTGTTCATCAAGGACTCTGCCACTCCAAATATTCTCTGTAGTCTTTTAAGCATAACAATAGCTTAAAAGTGGAAATGTTAACTTATTTTTATTTTTTTGAGGAGTAGGCTCGCTCTGTTGCCCAGGCTGCAGTGCAGTGCAATGGTGCTATCTTGGCTCATTGCAACCTCCACCTTCCGCATTCAAGCAATTCTCCTGCCTCAGTCTCCTGCACAGCTGGGATTACAGGTGCCTGCCACCACTTCTGGCTAATTTTTGTAATTTTAGTAGAGACAGTGTTTCACCATGTTGGCCAGGCTGGTCTCCAACTCCTGATCTCAAGTGATCCACCCACTTTGGCCTCCCAAAGTGCTGGGATTACAGGCATGAGCCACTGCACCTGGCCGGAAATGTTAATTTTTTAATGAGAAGCACTTCTTTCCTCCTGAAAATTTACATATGAAGCAATACAGTGTTATGAACAAACTATTCTCTTATGGAAAAATATAAAGATTTTGAAAACCTCCTGTAAGCTTGAGCATCGTAACAGGAACCCTATTGCTTCCCAGCAAAAGGACAAGACTTTATCAATTCACTTCAAGAAATAAGGGCAGGATGTAGGGTCAGAGGCCTAAGAATTCTGGAAACTAACAAGATGGGTGTGAAGCAGAAAATGAAGCAGAAAGCAAGGAAAATGATTTTTTTTTTTTTTTTTTTTTTTTTGAGATGGAGTCTTGCTCTGTCACCCAGGCTGGAGTGCAGTGGCACAATCTCAGCTCGCTGCAACCTCCACCTCCGATTCAAGTGATTCTCCTGCTTCAGCCTCCCGAGTAGCTGGGATAAGAGGCGCGTGCCATCACACCTGGCTGATTTTTGTATTTTTAGTAGAGACAAGGTTTCACCATGTTGGCCAGGCTGCTCTCTAACTCCTGACCTCAAGTGATCTGCCCTTCTTGGCCCTCCAAAGTGCTGGGATTACAGGTGTGAGCCACCATGCCTGGCCAGAAAATTAACTTTAGATGTGATCAAGACACCCAAGAGAGGTCAGACTGGAAATGTGACCTTGGAGAGACAGGGGTGGTCAGAAGCCAGCCCTCAGACGTCTGTTTTTGCCCTGTGAGTTGCCATCCATTCAAGCTACACAGTTTTAGTTGAAAGAGAAATACTGGGCCTATGGCTTTTTTCTAGGTTGTTAAAGTACAATGCTTGAAAGTGTCTCGTCTGATGAGGGGTTGGTATTCTAAATGGTTTTAAAGGCTGAGTGCAGTGGCTCACACTTATATTCCCAACACTTTGGGAGGTCAAAGCAGGAGGATCGCTTGAGCTCAGGAGTTCAAGGCTGCAGTGAGCCATAATGGCGCCACCACACTCCAGCCTGGGCAACAGAACAAGACCGTCTCGAAAACGAAAAATCCATCAAATAAATGATTTGAAGCATTTGGGAGACATTTCCCCTTTTTTTTCTTAGCTTTCCAGTTTCTGATACAGACAACCCCTAAACTAAACCCTTGCTGAAGTCTGGGGAGCTTTTTGTACCTATGTAGAGATCCACATATACATTCACAAAGATCTCAGAAAATCGTTGCCAAACATCCCAACTGTCTACTGAGTTGGAAAATTCACGGTTTGATCAGCTAGGTTTGTGCATATTGTACTACCCTCAGATTAAAACTTCTGTGATCACAAATGAGTACATAACAGGTTTCACTCCTCCCAAAAGCAGGGTTCCAGAAGTCAAACCCCTATGATATGGTTTGGCTGTGTCCCCACCCAAATCTCATCTTGAATTGTAGCTCCCATAATCCCCACGTGTGATGGGAGGGACCCTGTGGGAGGTAATTGAATCATGGGGGCAGGTCTTTCCCATGCTGTTCTTGTGATAGTGAATAAGTCTCACTAGATCTGATGGTTTTATAAAGCGGAGTTCCCCTGCACATGATCTCTTGCCTGCTGCCATGTATGACGTGTCTTGCTTCCCCTTCAGTTTCCACCCCTATTGTGAGGCCTCCCCAGCCATGTGGAACTGTGAGTCAATTAAACCTCTTTTCTTTATAAATTACCCAGCCTTGCATTATGTCTTTATTAGCAGCATGAGAACAGACTAACACATCCTATCGAGGTGGGATTCACATTTATCACTGATAGCTCTCTGCATGGTTCCCCGGGAGTGGGCATGCCATTACTACAGTTATGGTCTTCCTCATATTTGAATTATAAGAATATATGAAGCTAATATCTTTCAAATGTTTCAATTCTTTGAGAGTAGAAAGGGGAAAAAAACCTCTCTGGAAATCACAGGAAAAAATGCTTTCAGGTTTCTTAACCCCTGGAAGCAAAAATGGACATGAAAAGTTACAATGTATCATAGTCATTGTCATTTATCTCTGTGCTTCCTTCCTTCCCTCCAACGACTGTGTTCCAGCTGGAAGGTAGAAGAGAGGTTCTAGAAGTGTCTTAGTTTTGGGATGGGGTAGTGGGTTCCTGTTTTTTTCTGCCCATCAGCCTCCCTCCTTCTAGTAAGTGTGTTTTCCTTTGCCTTGACTCCAGGCCTCCAACTCCATGTTTGGCCCATGTTAGACAACTCCATGCTTCAAAGAAGCACCATGACCCAGAGCACTCTATCACCTATGACAATGGCAATTGGTTCGGGAATGGGCATGTGACCCAGGCTTGGTCAGAGTTCTGCACCATCTCTGACCATAGTAATTGGTGGGGGACTGGGCATGTGACCCAGGCCTGGCCAATCAGAGTTCTGTATCACCTCTTAACCAGAGTGGATTGTTCAGGAATTAACTAACTAACTAGAGCCTCAAGGCACTCTGACAACAGTTCATTCTGGATTTTTTCTTTTAATGTCTGAGAGAGAAAAGTCCTTATTTTTTTCTACTGAAATTGCTAAACTGTTGGTACTTAGCCTATAGTACGTGGAGACCACCTTAAGGAGAGAATCTGCCTAAGAATAACCACCAAGGGAAAAACAGAGCTGAGAGAGAGCACAAGACCAAGTGCTGATGTCAGTATTGAACCCCGTGATCCAGCCAAGTGTTTTCAGAAGTGCAGTCTAATACTCAAGCCAGTTTGAGTTGAACTTTTTTCTTTTTCTTCTCTCTCTCCCCTAACATTCTAAATGAATACAGACATGATTGCAGAAGATGTGGTGTTAACAGGGGTTAGAAGGCAATGAAGTTGTCAAGGTGGATTGAAAAGTGAGGAAGAAGGAATGGGCTAAATAGGGAAAGGTCTATGACTGGAGGAGAGTCTTAGGGCTTGGGAAGAACAAGGAGAAGTAGAAATAAGAGACCTGAGAGACAACATCAAGGGACAGCAAAATGGATTCATATAAGAGTCAGGGAACATTGACTGCTGTGTCACTTGAAGGTTTTAAAAATTAAGAGGATTGGGATTGCTTGAGCCCAGGGGTTTGAGGATGCAGTGAGCCATGATTGTGCCACTGCACTTCAGCCTGGGCAACAGAGCAAGACTCTGTCACAAAAAAAAGAAAAAGGAGAGGATTGAAGATGAAAGGATGATGTGCTTAGAAAATCTAATGGAAACCATGCAAAAGTCCCTAGAATTAATGAGAAAACTCAGCAAAGTGGCTGAATATAAGACAAACACATTTTTTAAATTGCCTATTGATTTATTAACAGAAAATGGGAAGAAAATGTCATCTACATAGCCAATAAAATATCTGGCACTAATATTGGAAAGAAATGCATAGGAGCCTTATAAAGAAAACTATAAAACTTTACTAAGAGAGATAAAAGATGGCTTCAGCATTCCTGGTGAAGAGACTGAATATTATAAAAAATGTCAATCATCCCCCAAATAATTTTACATATATTTAATGCAATTCCAATTCACAGGTCAATGCATTTTTGAAAACTGGCAAAATATTAGTTTTTTTTTTGTTTGTTTGTTTTTTACAAAAGAAGAAACAGATTGTAATAGCTAAAAATAAAGAGTATGATTGACGGGGGATAGGGTTTGAACTGGTGTCCCCACCCAAATTTCATGTTGAAATGTAATCCCCAATGCTGGGGGTGGGGCCTGGTGGGAGATGGTTGAATCATGGGAGCAATTTCTTATAGTTTAACAACATCCCCCTTGGTGCTGTCATCACGATAGTTCTCACGAGCTCTAGTTGTTTCAAAGTATATGGCACCCCCCCACACCTGCTCCCTGCTCTGGCCATGTGAAGCACTAGTTTCCCCTTTGCCTTCTGCCATGACTGTAAGTTCCCTGAGGCCTCCCCAGAAACATCAATATTCACAGCAGCATTATTCATAATAGCCCCAAATCAGAAACCACTCAGATTTTCATCAACTGACAAATGGATAAATAAAATGTGACATATTATTATAATAGACTATTATACAGCCATGAAAAGGAGCGAAGTATCGCTACATGCTACAACATGGATGAACTTTAAAGATATTATGCTAAAGAAGCCACTTATATAAAATTTCCAGAATAAACAAATCCATGGAAACAAAAATCTGTAGAGACAGAATAGATTACTTGGTTGCCAGGGACTGAGGGGAAAAGGGAGAGACTGCTAATGGGTACAGGGTTTCTTTTTGGGGGAAGAGAAATGTTCTCAAATAGTGGTGACAGTTCATAACTTTGTGAATATACTAAAACCTACTACCCTTTTACAACCTATTGTACATTTTAAAAGGGCAAGTTTTATGGTATGTGAATTCTCTCTCAATAAAGCTTTTATTTTAAAAGCAACACAAATAACAAGCCAGAAGAAAAAACTGATCACAGAACTAATAGGAATGCTAAATATAAGAAGAGGGAAAATATCTGTAAGTAAAACAAAGGCTTCGAGATACATAGACAAGAAAAATACCCTGCTAAAAAGGAGAAGGAAACTTGAGCTTGTGAGAAGTGTACTAGCTTTAGCAGGCAATTTCAATGGATCTGGTCCTGGCTTTCCTAGATGCTTAACCTTTTTGAGCCTTATTTTCTCATCTACAACAATGTGGATAATAATATCTATTTCCTTGCTGGGCCTGGTGCCTCACACCTGTAATCCCAGCTATTTGAGAGGCTGAGGCAGGAGGACTGCATGAGGCCAGGAGTTCAAGACCAGCCTGAGCAACATAGCAAGACCCCTGTCAATCAACCAACCAACATGTAAATAAGTAAACAAATAAGTAGGGCTGGGCACGGTGGCTCATGCCTGTAATGCCAGTCACTTTGGGAGACTGGGGCAGGGAGATCACCTGAGGTCAGGAGTTTGAGACCAGCCTGGCCAACACGGCAAAACCCCATCTCTACTTAAAAAATACAAAAATTAGCTGGGCGTGGTAGTGTATGCCTGTAATCCCAGCTACTCAGGAGGCTGAGGTAGGAGAATCGCTTGAACCCAGGAGGTGGAGGTTGCAGTGAGCCGAGATTGCATCACTGTACTCCGGCCTGGGCGACAAAGTGAGACTCTGTCTCAAAAAAAAAGTAAACAAATAAGTAAATAATGAGTACATAAACAAGTAAATAAGCAAATAAATAATAAGTAAATATATAAGTAATAAATAAAATTTAAAATAAACAAACTAACTAAATAAAATGAATCAATGAAATTTCCCTGGGTTGGTAGGAGGGTTCATGAGGTGACTTCTACAGGTGCCCCTTAACAATGGGGTTACATCCTGATAAACCCATCATAACCTGAAAACATTCTAAGTCCAAAGTGCATTTTCCACTTGATATTTTCAATTTAGGATGGATTCATCCAGATGTACCCGCATCATAAATTGACGAGCATGCTTGGGTGTGTATTGCTTTTGCGTCATTGTAAAGTCAGACGATCCTAAGTTGAAGGATCGCAAGTCAGGAACCATCTGTCTCCAGGCCCTGGCACACACTTAGGACCCCTCCTCATGCTGGCCACAGTCACGTGTTCCTGTGTGCTTCTGGTTGCAGTCTCAGTTCATCTCTTAGAGACAAATAAGGCAGCAGGGACTAGACTGAAAAGGCAAAGATGGAGAGAGAAAGAACCTTAGAGGAGACTGGTGCCTATGGAGAAGGAGAGAAAACCAGCAAATGCACAAACAAGCAAGAGAAGGCAATGGATGATCCATGCACCATGAGTCCTCAGAGAGGACACGATGCAACATAAGCTCCCTCAGGCCTCTAGGTAACATCTGAACTTTTTTTTTTGAGACAGAGTTTCACTCCTGTCTCCAAGGCTAGAGTGCGATGGTGCGGTCTCAGCTCACTGCAACCTCTGCCTCCCAGGTTCAAGGGATTCTCCTGCCTCAACCTCCCATGTAGCTGGGATTACAGGCACCTGCCACCACGCCTGGCTAATTTTTGTATTTTTAAAAGAAACGGGGTTTCACCATGTTGGCCAGGCTGGTCTCAAACTCCTGACCTCAGGTGATCCACCCACCTCAGCCTCCCAAAGTGCTGGGATTACAGGTGTGAGCCATGGCACCCGGCGTTTTTACATTGTTTTTTAAATGAACAAGTCCAAAGAAAACCTTCATAGAATTGCGGTCATAATACAAATTATGTCGACCTGCATATAAAACCTGGCACCAAATTTGGCCTTTGGGGAACATTTGTGTAGAAAAATGTGCATTAAGATCTGCACCAGGCTGGGCACGGTGGCTCACGCCTGTAATCCTAGCACCTTGGGAAGAAAGGCAGGAGGACTGCTTAAGCCCCAGACTTTGAGACCAGTTTTGGGCAACATAGTGAGACCCCCATCTCTACAATAAAAATTTTTAATTATTAGCCAGCTATGGTGGCATGTGCCTGTAGTCTCAGCTACTCAGGAAGCTGAGGCAAGAGGATCACCTGAGCCCAGGAGTTTGAGGCTGCAGTGTGCTAGGATTGCACCACTGCACTCCAGCGTGGGCAACAGAGCGAGACCCTGGCCTCTAAGAAAATAAAAATGAAAATGAAAAGCTGCACCAGGGCACAATGCAGTTGCAGATGGATGACCTTGACAGGAACGGCCACAAGGGCACTTGGTCTGTGGCCACAAGGAGCTCTTGGTTTCCAGCCTTAGGCCTGAGCCCTACATGAGGATGTCTGCCCCTAGGAAGGGCCAGAAGAGCTTGTGTCTGAAGGCAGGCCCCCTTCATCCAAAATGCCACAAGCCCGGGATGAAACAAAACTGGTCCTGGGGAAAAGGGCAGGAGAGAAGGGGTCATCTTCCCATCTCCTGTTTCTGGGCTCTGACCACTATTGGAGGATTCTAGCTGTCTGGCAGACATATCACCTTTAACTTTAGAACTTCTGCAATTTCCAAATACTACATTGTTTTCCAAGTAAGCAGACCAATTCTAACTTAAGCTTGGGAGTTGGCTTAAAATGGACTGAGGTTCATGAAAATCCTACTGCTCTCTGTTAGATAGCAAATCCCAGTACAGCACTTGCTCTCTGCCAGACACTGTGCTGAGTATTTTATACATTTTAAATCATTTGCTCCTTACGACACCCCATGAGATAGATTGTGTTATAACATTATTCCCGTGCTCAAATTAAGGAAATGAAAGCATAGAGGAGTTAAATAGCTTACCCAAAGGCACACAGCACCAAAATCTGATCTTTGTACTGGAGACAAAAAGAGATTTCAAGAGGATCTCAAACATGACAGGGTTAGGCTGTATACACACAGCAGAATTGCACTAAATGCAAAAGCATTAGGAACAAATTAGACAAAAGCAGCTTATCTCCAGCTGTCATGCAGGAGCTACATTTTCAAGCTGTTTGCAGGAGGGAGAGTAATTGCACGGGAGAACTGCAGGGATGAACCACTGCCCCATCCATCTTCTCACATTCCCTGGAATGACTGCCCCAGCCTTTTTCTCTTTCCTGAAAGGTCTAAAAAGTGTCCCTGAGGAAGCAAAGAGTGAAAGCTACCGCTCCCGAAGTCCTCCTTCCAGGGTGGTCTTCTTTTCTTACAAGAAGCTCTTGGCTCCGAGGAGGGCCCAGACTTTGTGTCTGAATGTTTGGCAAAATGTCTCAGGCTCTCAGCACCCCACCCCCGCCCCACCGCACCCCAGTCTGTTCCTACTCTCTCAAGGGATTCGGCCCATGCCAAATCTCAGAACTTCTACCTTGAGTGGAAGCAAGTCCCCAAAAGGCCTTGGAAAGCATTCAAGCTTGTTAAAGAAAGGTCAGTGTCTATGTGGTGGGATGAAGAGCATGTTAAAAATTAAAAACAGAATGTGTTGCTGCCTTGGAGTGTTAAAATATTAGGAGAGCTGGGACAACTAAAAACTCTAATCAAGAGTGAGTGAAGACAGACTCTGCTATGGATTTTCTAAAATGAATTTCCTGCGTCAGGTGCTGACTGATTTTAGCAACATCAGGATAATGATGAAAAAACAGGAAAGCATATATATTTGTGAAGGATTGCCTGCTCTACAGTAAATTAGAAAAATGAGCAAAAATGAGTGTCTTTAAGCAAGGGAAATTTATCCGTGGCATAACGCCATGCCCAAAGCAGTATGTAAATGATACTTAAGTGAGCAATCTGTCAAATTGCTGCGTATTATCATATTCATTAATTTTGAAAGAAAAATCTACATGACCACCACCCAGATGCTAAAAACCCCTCCGACATAAACACGGACAGTCCCCATTCAAATATTATTTTTAGTCTGACGACACAAGACGACAACTGTAAAGTTAGCTGGGGGAAAAAAGGGGCAGAAAAATAGTGTGATTTCCTGGAAATCCCACAATGCAATTTCACTTTGAACTTGCAAGCAAATATCCAGGCATGATCTGCATGAAACTGGGTGGTGTTTCGTTCTAGAACTATGGGTCCCAATTAAAAATAATGAGGCCTGTCTCCAGCCGCCAGACCCAATTAGAGATAATGAGGACTGATGGTTCCTGAAATAGATTCATTTTTCTCTGATATACGAATTGGGACAGGGGTCTTGGTAGGGGTCACTGGAATAGACCTGGCAACAAAGCATGGGTCACTCAAGCTTACGAAGCCCTTACGAATCCAGTTATTAAATGAGGAAGTGGGAAGTTCCTTAGCTTCCAAAGCACAGGAGTAACCTTGCGAGACATGTGTCCATCAGGCACATTCAGATATACATCGTTAGCCAAGTGGTATGTCTGTTGCTATTAAAAATTTTATAATAACGACAGTATCATTTAAGTAATTGCTTTAAAAATACTGAAAAAGTATAGCCAGCTTCATGTGTGTATGTATATATGTATGTGTGTGTGTACATGTTTTCATCCACGTATCTACACACACACACTTTATTTGGAATAATTTTAGACTTACAGAGAGGTTGCAAACACAGTGCAGGCAGTTCCATATACCCTCTCTCAGTTTCCCCTAATGTTAGCATCTCACCTAACCTGGTACACTGGGAACAACTAAGAAATGAAATTAACATTACCATTAACTAGACTCCCGATTTGATTGAGATTTCACCAGTTTTGCCACAAATGTTTGTTTTCTGTCCCAGGCCCCCAGTCCGGTTCACCACCATGCTGCCCGAAGTTATCTTGCCATTCACTTGTTTACTTACTCATCATCTGCCTCCTCCCCCATAAATTCCTTGAAAGCAGAGACTACGGCTGTCCTATCCACAGCTGTACCCACAGTGCTTGGCCTTGATCACAACGTGGAATTCTAGGAACAAATGCATACTATCGTCCAAGTGTGTAGGAGGTTCTATTGTCAAGGCCTCGGCATAATCACTGGCATATAATTGGCACATGATGTATGAGGTTGAATTGTTTTTAAGGAGCACAGCATCATGGTAAGAACACACACTGGCAGGTGGTTAATTATTATTAGTTGAATAAGTGAAAGGAAAAGCCATTATTCAGGGAAGGCAGGAACCAAAAGATCTACAGACAGCTCCTGGTTTATGAGCTATTTCAACCACCTGCATTTAAGCCTTCTTTGAATCATTTTCTAGCATAAGAAGTAACAAAAGGCTAGCTCACAATCCCCGAGTAGTCAAAAATTCATCTCAGCACCCACTGAGGATGACTGGTTAATCTGTTCTTTCCAGAGCCTCCCTTGGAAAGATTCTCTCCCTCTCTGTTCACCTTCCTAAGCCCAAGAGAGAGAAAGCAACCCTACCTAAGGCAAGGTTCAGCAGAATTTTTCTGGGAAGAGTTAGACAGGAAATATTTTAGGCTTTCCAGGTCATAAAGGGCTGTTACAACTACTCAACTCTCCTCTTGTGGCTGAAAAGCAGCCGTGGACAATATTGTACACTAATGAACACGGCTGTACAATAAAACTTTACTTATAAAAACAAGCAGTGGGCCACAGGCTGTTTTTCAATCTAGGGCATACTTGCCCATATAAACTACACAGATATATACAATAAACACGTGGAACAGAAGATCAGGTACAAAACTGAAAATACCATCCAATTAACAGAGTTTGTGCATATAAAGAAAGGAGGTTCCTAAAAACATAGACAGATTTGCAAAAAAAAAAAAAAAGAAAAAAAAGAAAACTGATTTTATTTTACTGGGAGCTGATGTACCACAACTGTTAGGAACAAAAGTCTCATCACTTTACACAGTTACCACTTTTTATGTGTGCTGAGAACATTTAAGGTCTACTCTCCCAGCGAATTTCAAGAATGTGTTAATTAGCTTGATCATGCTAATCATTCCACAAGATATTTGTATATCAAAACATCACATTGTACACCTTAAACATATACAATTTTATGTGTCAATAATACCTCAAATACAGCTGGAAAAAAGAAAATACTTGTGATACAATATTTAGCGAAAATATAGGTAAAAAGATATGTCTCTGCAAAACAGGAAAAAACGACATTAGAAGAAAATCCATTTTTAGAGATGTTCTTTTTATAGTTTCAATGTTATTTTGGATTTATTAAAATGCATGAAATGCAGAAGGGGAAAGGAACAAAAAGTTCAGAGCCAGCATTATCACAGCCTAGCTCTGTGACCTATTCTGTAACTGCACAGTGTCTCAGTTGTCTCATCAGTTTAAAAGGGATACTAAAGCCAGGTGTAACAGCTCAAACCAGTAATCCCAGCACTTTGGGAGGCTGAGGTGGGAGGACCGCTTGAGCCCAGGAGTTCAAGACCAGTTTGGGCAACATAAGCAAGACCCCCATCTCTTAAAAAATAAGATAAAATAAAAGGAGTACTGATAGCATCTCTCTCATAGGCTTGTTCTAAGGATTAAGAATTAATGCATGTTGCTTGCACAACATCGTGAATGTACCAAATGCCACTGAATTGTTCACTTGGTAATACCTAATTTTACAGTAATGAGAATTTCACCCCAATTTAAAAAAACTAAGGTAAATCACATAGGCATCACACACACACACACACGCATATATATATATATGCGTGTGTGTGTGTGTGTTATGATCCCCAATGATTATTCTCAGAATTTTACTCAGAGACCAAAACATCTTGACAATAGTGAAGCAGCTACGATGGGACTTTTTAGCTATCACCATCCTTCTTCTGAGTTTTAAATAATTCTAAGTGGTATATCAAACAATGCAATCAGCCTAAAATACTTTTGGAGTCTAAAAAGAGTTGATGCATAGAAAGCATTTGGGACAGGACCCAGCACTGAGCAAACAGTCAATAAATGCTAGTTATTATTATGCTATTGTTAAGTTACGAGTGACCAGAATATTTTTAGGTTGAATTGAATTCTAGAAGAAAGCACTTTGGAGACACCACATCAGGCAGAAGAGGCACTTTTTCTTTTTTTTCTTTCTTTTTTTTTTTTTTTTTTGAGACAGTTTTGCTCTTTCAGGCTGGAATGCAGTGGCACAATCTCTGCTCACTGCAACCTCTGCCTCCTGGGTTCAAGTGATTCTCCTGCTTCAGCCTCCTGAGTAGCTGCGATCACAGGCACCTGCCACCACACCTGGCTAATTTTTATGTTTTTAGTAGAGACAGGGTTTTGCCGTGTTAGCCAGGTTGGTCTCAAACTCCTGACCTCAGTGATCCACCCTCGGCCTCCCAAAGTGCAGTTATTACAGGCGTGAGCCGTCGCACCCAGCCAGCACTTTTTCTTCCTTTTTAAAATAACTACAGAAGGCCAGGCACGGTGGCTCACGCCTGTAATCCCAGCACTTTGAGTGGCCGAGGCGGGTGGATCACAAGGTCAGGAGTTCAAGACCAGCCTGGCCAAGATGGTAAAACCCCATCTCTACTAAAAATACAAAAAAAATTAGCCAGGCATGGTGGTGGGTGCCCATAATCCCAGCTACTTTGGAGGCTGAGGCAGAGAATTGCTTGAACCCAGGAGGCAGAGGTTGCAGGGAGCTGAGATTGAGCCACTGTACTCCAGCCTGGGTGACAGAGGGAGACTCTGTCTCAAAAAAAAAAAAAAAAGAAAAAGAAAAAGAAAAAGAAAAGAAAAATTAAATAACTACAGGAGCTGGGGACACATTCTACTGTAGCATAAAGGAAGAGTTCCCTCCTCCTCCTTGCTCCATGAGCAAAATTTTAAACTCTAATGTAATAACAGTGTTAATATCTAAGAGATGTATTGAAGAGGTGTATTTTGTCCAAGGTATCTTATTCATAGAGTGGGGGGAAAGTTTATAAGTTTGGCAGAATAGATTTTCCAAAGATGGTCACAATAGTGCCTCCCATCCCACTTGCTCTTCTAAACCTTGCCCATTCCCCCATCAAAAGGTAGAGTCTAGACCGGGTATGGTGGCACATGCCTGTAATCCCAGCACTTTGGGGGCCGAGGTGGATGAATTGCTTGAAGCCAGGGATTTGAGACCAGCCTGGGCAACGTGGCGAAACCCCATGTCTACTAAAAATACAAAAATTAGCCGGGGATGGTGACATGCCTGTAATCCCGGCTACTCAGGAGGCTGAGGCAGGAGAATTGCTTGAACCCAGGAGGCGGAGGTTGCAGTGAGCCAAGATTGTGCCACTACACTTCAGACTGAACAACAGAGTGAGATGCTGTCTCAAAAAATAAAATAAAATAAAATAAAATAAAATAAAATAAAATAAAATAAAATATAAAAAAAAGGTAGAGTCTAATTCCCTCCCTTGAATCTAGGTGGCTTGTTACTCACTTGTAACCAACAGAATGTGGGGTAGCATGGATGAAGAGTTCCTTCCTCATCCCCCATGTGGAGGAATGGTGTGTTCCCAAGACCCACTAGCCTGGGAATGGGAGAAGAAAGACCAAGAAGGGATGACAGACAGCATGGAAGTAGGGAGAGAGGATGCAGCAGGAAGTGATCTAGAAACATACAAACTTCTGGGGCCCTGGGCAACTGGACAGTGATGGAATCATTCATCTGGTGGATGAGGAGGATGCCTGGACAGGCACCGGCAGGCCAGCAGGTTGTGCCCGAGAAGTCTGATTCACCTCTTCAGGTAAGCACTGCTGCATGCTGACAGGGCCTCAGATAGCAGTCTCCTTGGACCACAGAAAATATCTTCTAGACAGGGCCTTTACCCAATACCGAAGAACTGCTATCAGGGATGGTCTTGTGTAAGCCTTAAAGAATGAGAACTAATTTACACTCCCACCAACAGTGTAAAAGCGTTCCTATTTCTCCACAGCCTTGCCAACATTGGTTGTTTCCTGACTTTTTAATAATAGACATTCTGACTGGCGTGAGATGGTATCTCATTGTGGTTTTGATTTGCATTTCTCTAATGATCAGTGATGATGAGCTATTTTTCATGTTTTCTTGGCCGCATAAATGTCTTCTTTTGAGAAGGGTCTCTTCATATCCTTTGCCCACTTTTTGATGGGTTTTTCTTGTATATTTGTTTAAATTCCTTGTAGATTCTGGATATTAGCCCTTTGTCAGATGGATAGATTGCAAAATTTTTCTCCCATTCTGTAGGTTGCCTGTTTACTCTGATGCTAGCTTTTTTTGCTGTGCAAAAGCTCTTTAATTAGATCCCATTTGTCAATTTTGCCTTTTGTTGAAATTGCTTTTGGTGTTTTAGTCATGAAGTCTTTGCCTATGCGTATGTCCTGAATGGTATTGCCTAGGTTTTCTTTCAGGGTTTTTATGGTTTTGGGTTTTACACTTAAGTCTTTAATCATCTTAATTTTTGTATAAGATATTTTTAGGAAGGGTTCCAGTTTCAGTTTTCTGCATATGGCTAGCCAGTTTTCCCAGCACCATTTATTAAATAGGGAATCCTTTCCCCATCGCTTGTTCTAGTTCAACCATTGTAGAAGCCAGTGTGGCAATTCCTCAAGGATCTAGAACCAGAAATACCATTTGATCCAGCAATCCCATTACTGGGTATATACCCAAAGGATTATAAATCATTCTACTATAAAGACACATGCACATGTATGTTTATTGCAGCACTGTTTACAATAGCAATGACTTGGAACCAACCCAAATGCCCAGCAATGATAGACTAGATAAAGAAAATGTGGTACATATACACCATGGAATACCATGCAGCCATAAAAAGAATGAGATCATGTCCTTTGCAGGGACATGGATGAGGCTGGAAGTCATCATTCTCAGCAAACTAACACAGGAACAGAAAACCAACCACCACTTGTTCTCACTCATAAATGGGAGTTGAACGATAAGAACACAGGGACACAGGGAGGGGAACATCATACACCAGGGCCTGTTGGAGGGTAGGGGAAAAGGACAGGGAGAGCATTAGGCCAAATATCTAATGCATGCAGGGCTTAAAACCTAGATGATGGGTTGGATGGTGCAGCAAACCACCATGGCACATGTATACCTATTTAACAAACCTGCACATTCTGCAAACGTATCCTGGAACTTAAAGTAAAATTTAAAAAAAAAAAGAAAAGAAAAAGAAAAAGAAATGAGAACTGAGACTTTCTTTCTCAGATAAGGTAACAAATGTAGAAAGAAATCAGTGTTCACCCATTATCTTCACTCTTGGCTCCCTGAGCAGAATTTTAGACCCTAATATCAATTACACAATTTTAATACCTAAGAGACACATTGAAGAGGTGTGGTGTTTTGTCAAAAGCATCTTAATCATGGCAGGGGGAAGCTTATAAAATAAGTTAGGCAGATTAGATTTTCCAAAGACATTCACAACAGTATCTCCCATCCCACTTGTTCTACATCTTGCCACTCCCCTATCAAAAGGTAGAGTGTAACTCTCTCCCTTGAATCTAGGTGGCTTGTGACTTACTTGTAACCAACAGAATGTGGCAGAAGGGACACTGTGTGGCTTCCGGGGCTAGATTAAAGACAGAGCTTCCATTGCAGCATGTGGCCCCCTGAGGCCGCCAAGCTGTAAGAAAGCCCAGCGCATGGAAAGGCCACCTGTAGGCATTCTGGTCAGTTGACCTCATCCTTTAGTGCCCCGAGTCCAGGAGCCAGGCATGAGAGTGAGTCTTAGTATGACTTGAGATCAACTATCAAGTCACTCCCACCCCAGCCTTGGGGTCTTCCTAGCTGAGGTCCCAGACATTGAAGACCAAAGACAAGCCAGCTCTGTTGAACACTTTTTTTTTTTTTTTCTTGAGTCAGGGTCTCACTATGTTTCCCAGACTAATTTCAAACTCAGGCCCAAGGAATCCTCCCGCCTCAGCTTCCCAAATGTTGGGATTACAAGCATTAGCCACCACATCTGACCAACCATTATACACTTTCTGAATTCCTTGCTCACCAAGTTGGTGAGAATAAAAGGGTGATTTTATGTCACTAAATTTGGGGTGGTTTATTACTCCCCAGGAGTAACTGAAGCAATAAGGAATAGACGTTCTTAACTGACCTCTATGAATCAAACCCCGACTCGTTACTGCTTTCCATACCCTGTTGGACACATTGATGCTACCAGGCATGCTGAACTGTCAAAAACAGCAGACCTTCTAGAACCTTCTTACCTTAGGTCTGGGGCCAGCAGCATCAGTACCCTCTGGGAGCACTTAGAAATGAAAAATCCCAGATCCTCTCCCAGACTTAACTGAAACAGAATCTGCTTTTTAATAAGATCCTCAAGGGACCTAAGTGAGGCTGGCAAGTTTGAGAAACAGGGCTCTCTAGAACATCCGTGCATTTCTGTTCCCACCAACAAACACAGGTGACTCATAAGAATTCAACTCAGCTGGTGGGAACAGAAATGCAAGGATGTTCTGTTTTTGTGCCCATGACACTTGCTATTTTAATTAATTCATTTCAACATCGGACAAACCAATGGAACCCGAGTGCATAGACATCTTTCAATGTGTATTACAAAGAGAATGTAGCCTGTGGGTTAATTTCCATTAAATTTGGTAAGGGGAGAAAACTGTAAAAGATCTAGGATAAAAACCTAGAAGGTATTCTGTACTCAAATTGCTTTGCACGTGTTAAGTCCCCATTCCACAATAAAGAAACTGACCCTAGGAATTACAGACATTTCATTATGGGTATTGTTTTTTGTTTTTGAGACAGTCTCACTCTGTCGCCCAGGTTGGAGTGCAGTGGCGTGATCTCAGTTCACTGCAACCTCTGCCTCCCAGGTTCAAGCGATTCTCCTGCCTCAGCCTCCCGAGTAGCTGGGACCACAGGCGCACAACACCATGCCCAGCTAATTTTTGTATTTTTAGTAGAGATGGGGTTTCACCATGTTGGCCAGGATGGTCTCGATCTCCTGACCTCGTGATCTGCCTGCCTCGGCCTCCTAAAGTGCTAGGATTACAGGGGTGATTTTTTTTTTTTTTTTTTTTTTTGAGACGGAGTCTCCCTCTGCCATCCAGGCTGGAGTACAGTGGCGTGATATTGGCTCACTAGAACCTCCGCCTCCCAAGTTCAAGCAATTCTTCTGCCTCAGCCTCCCGAGTAGCTGGGATTACAGGTGCCTGCCACCACACCCAGCTAATTTTTGTAATTTTAGTAGAGACAGAGTTTCACCATATTGGTCAGGCTGGTCTTGAACTCCTGGACCTCATGATCCACCTGCCTCAGCCTCCCAAAGTACTGGGATTACAGGCGTGAGCCACCATGCCTGGCCTTATAGGTGTAGTTAAAGCAAGAACATTACTTGGCTTTGTCCCACATCCTAAAACAAACAAACAAACAAAAAGCAGTAACTGTGACCCCACTGAAAATATGTATAAATCAATATGCATTAATACGGTTAAATTAAAACACTTAATATTTTGAGTATTTTGAAATGCATTGTAGATACTACAGACTGGTGACTCAGAGGCCAGGCAGGGACCCCTTCGTTCTTTGTCTCTGAAAGGCTGGAAATGTAAAGTGTTGGACGTTCAAGGCTCTCTTGGAGCTAGGAGAGGCAACCAGTTTCAGCTCCAGGCAAAGATTAATGGAGGAGTGTTTAGGTGGGGCTTCCAGGAGATCTTTATAAAGAAGACAGATCCAATTTATATGCAAGTGTTTCATATAGCAGTAAACATCTTTATGGTCTTAAAGACCATAAAGAGAGCCAGCTCATATCTGGCTCTCTGCTTGATCCACTTGCCTAACCCATCCACTTCCCCAAGGATAGATATTTAGGTCAATTCTAACTCATCACTGCCTCAGACAACAGCATGATGAACACCTTCAGATGTGTTCCCTTTGGGACCTGTGTACAATTTCTTGGGGGTATATGGCCAGAGGTGAGAGTGGTCATAAGGGCATTGCATGCGTAATTACATCGTGTTCTGCAAAACTCTTTTCTGGAATGGTTGTAGTCATCAGTCCCTCAAAAGTGCATTACAATTTTCCCTGTATGTCTATTTCTCTGTATCATTGCCATTAGGTGGTATTATCAGGCTGTACAATCTTTGCCAGTTTGATGGATATAAAGTGGTATTCTGTTGTTTAATTTTATATTAATCTGATTTTTTGATGAGCTTATAGAAGAGTGATTAACCACAAATGTTTATTAGCCAGTAAGCTTCTCATTCTGGAAATGGTCCAGTCATATGAACACCTGACCTTTTCTACGAGTTTCCTATCTTTTCCATTGATTTGCAGTGTTTCCTTTTTTTTTGAGAGGGATCTCGCTCTATTGCCCAGGCTGGAGAGCAGTGGCACAATCTCGGCTCACTGCAACCTCCACCTCCTGGGTTTAAGCGATTCTCCTGCCTCAGCCTCCTAAGTAGCTGGGATTACAGGCGCCCGTCACCACACCCGGCTAATTTTTGTGCTTTTAGTAGAGACAAGGGGGTTTCACCATATTGGCCAGGCTGGTCTCGAACTCCTGACCTCAAGTGATCTGCTTGCCTCAGCCTCCCAGTGCTGGATTACAGGCGTGAGCCACCATGCCTGGCCTCAGTATTTCCATTTGTATTCTAGGTCTAGAGCAGAATCCCTGGCTGGTTTAGACATTGCAAAGATCTTTGAGTCTGTCACCTGTCTATTGTGTGTGGTATTCTTAGTTGAACATAAGTCTTTAATTTTTATGCAGGCAGATTTACCCACTTATGCCCTTAATTTGTGTTTTTGAGGGCTTTTAAGATGGAGTATTGCTCTGTCGCCCAGGCTGGAGTGCAGTGGCACGATCTTGGCTCACTGCAACCTCTGCCTCCTGGGTTCAAGCAATTCTCCTGCCTCAGCCTCCCAAGTAGCTGGGATTACAGGTACCCGCCGCCATGCCCAGCTAATTTTGTTATTTTTGGTAGAGATGGGGTTTCACCACGTTGGCCAGGACAGTCTTGATCTCTTGACCTCGTGATCCACCCGCCTCGGCCTCTCAAAGTGCTGGGATTACAGGCATGAGCCACCACGCCCAGCCGAGGATCTTCTTTAACAAGTCCTTCCCAATATTCTCCTATATATTGTTTCAGATTGATATTAATCCTTTTACAGTTTGTCTTCTAAACCCTTCTAGCATTTACCTTTGTATATGAGATGAGGCAATAACTCAGCTTACTTTTCTTCACATACAAAAGCAATTTTTTTTTTTTTTTTTTTTTTTTGAGACAGATTCATGCTCTGTTGCCCAGGCTGGAGTGCAGTGGTGCGATCTCAGCTCACTGCAACCTCTGCCTCCTGGGTTCAAGTGATTCTCCTGCCTCAGCCTCCCAAATAGCTGAGATTACAGGCACATGCCACCACACCTGGCTTTTTTTTTTTTTTTTTTTTTTGTATTTTTAATAGAGATGGGGTTTCATCATGTTGGCCAGGGTAGTCTGGAACTCCTGTCCTCAAGTGATCCCCCCACCTTGGCCTCCCAAAGTGTTGGGATTACAGGTGTGAGCCACCACGTCTGGCCCGTTTTTTTCTTTTGAGACAGGGTCTTGCTCTGTCACCCAGTCTGGAGTGCAGTGGAACAATAATAGCTCTCTGCAGCCTCAGACTCCTGGGCTCAAGTGATCCTCCTACCTCTGCTTCTCAAGCAGCTGGGACTACAGGAACCTCCCACCATGCCCAGCTATTTTTAATTTTTATTTTTTGTAGAGACAATCTCTCAGTTGCCCAGGCTGGTCTCAAACTCCTGGGCTCAAGTGATCTTCCCACCTCAGTCTCCTAAAGCACTGGGATTACAGGCATAAACCACTATGCCTGGCCAATAAATTTTATTTTAAATTTACATAGCCCCGTATGGTTCATGGCTACCATATTAGACAATGAAAGTCTAGCCAATTTAGTAATTCAAAACAAAACAAAACAAAACAAAAACAATCTGTTCTGTTTCCTCTCCAGTCTTCTAAGGCCAGTGGTTCTAAGCTGGGGGCAATTTTGCTCCTGAGCCCCAAGGAACATTTATCATTATCTGGAGGTAGTTTTGCTCGTTATGATGTGGGCAACATCTAACATCTAGTGGCTAGAATCCAGGGAGCCACTAAATATCCTACAACACCCAGAAAGTGCCCCCAAACAAAAAATCATCCAGCCCCAAATGTCTTTAACACCAAGACTGAGAACTTTGCCATAGACCTTTCTCATGGCAAGCAAAGGTTTTCCTAACTTGTATAATTGTTATACTCATTTCCTTGATTTAACTGTGGTAAAAAAATACCACCATCACCACCACCTAACATTGTTTACCAACTAACCCATTCTAAGTGTACAGTTCATTAGTGTTACATTCACCTTGTGCACCAGATCTCCAGAAGTTTTTCCATCTTGAAAATCAGAAACTCTATATCTATTAAACAAGCACTCCCATTTTTTCCCTTCCCCCAGCCCCCTGACAACTACCATTCTAATTTGTTTCTGAGTCTGACTACTGTGTGTATCTCATATAAGTAGAATAATGCAGTCTGCCTTTTTTGTGACTAGCTTATTTCCCTTAGTGTAACATCTTCAAAGTTCATCCATGCTCTTGCACGTGCCTGAATTTCCTTGTTAAGACTGAATATTCCATTGCATGGAGAAGCCACGTTGTGTTTATCCATTCATCTGTTGATGGGCAGTTGGGTTGTTGGGTTGCTTCCACCTTTTGGTTATTGTGAATAATGCTGCTATGAACATGAGTATGCAAATATCTCTTTGAGATCCTGCTTTCCATTGTTTTGGGTATACGCTTAGAACATGGATGTATCATTTTCTTGATTAAATACACTTTTTGGTTTTGAATGATTTTAGAATGACAGAAAAGTTGCAAAAAAAAAAAAAAAAAAAAAACAAAACCAAAAACGCAGAGAGTTCCCAAATGCCTCGCACCTGATTTCCCCTCCCCTCACTCCCGCCCATCATTTCACATTACCATGGTACATTTCTCACAAGTAAGACATCCACTTTGGCACATTCCTATGTAAACTCCAGACTTGATTTGGACTTTACCACCTTCCTCAGAAATGTTCTCTTCCTGCTGCAGGATCCAACCCAGGGCACCACACTGCATTCATGCCCACCCAGTCGCTTCTGGTCTGGGACAGTGTCTCCTGCTTCCTTGTTTTTCATGACCTTGACAATTTTGGAGTGTGTTGGTCCAGTCTATTGTAGAATGTGCCTCAACTTGGGGTTGTCTGATGTTTTTCCTCATGAGTTGACTGGGGTTATAGATTTTTGGGAAGAATAGCATGGAGGTGAAGCACCTCTGTGCCTTCATCATTTATTGGGGAAGCATGAGAGCCACTGACAGTGCTGCTGACCTTAACTTTTATCACTTGGTCAAGGTCATGTGTGCCAGCCTGCTCCACTGCAAAGCTACTTTTTATTCCTCTCCATACTCTGTTATTTGGAGGCCAATCACCAAGACCAGCCAAACAGTGAAGGGAAGGAGTGAAGGGAAAATTAGCCTCTACCTCCTAGGGGAAGGAGCAGCTACATTTATAAGGAATATTTATAAATTCTTTTCTAAGAAATATTTATTTTATAATAAATATAAACTTGTTCTAATGTAGCATAAGAAATATGGTTACATTGGGATTCTAAGAAATATTTGTTACTTCTCCTCCATGTAAATATTTCTTTAATCAGCATTTACTCACAGATACTTGTTTTATACTTTGGGTTATAACCTAAATTTGTTCAGCTTTGACCACTCCTTGCTTTTTTAAGCTATGTACCAACAACTATATGTTTTGTTCGATACTTTAATGTACGTTTTAAACCTGACAGAACAGACTTTTTCCAGGGAATAAATCTTGCTGCATAATGTCATAAATGTCATTGATAACCATGACGACAAAGGCTACCCTGGTCATTCTGAACAAGATGTTATCCAGACCCAGTGCCTGAGAGACACAGTTGAAACGAGGACCAGTTGCACAGCACCTCTAGAATTACCCTGAGAAGCTTACAAGCATCCTCTCAAGACAGAGCTGTAAAGCCCTTCTGGGAGGGTAATTACTTGGCCCAATAGAGAGGACACTGTCATTAATACTCAGCTGGTCCAACGCTGTCCCAAATCCCTGGCTGGGTTCAGGGATAAGCCTTAAAACCAGAGTGGAGGCTGTATCCCTAAAAGGAAACAAAGCTCTGTCTTCAGCCAGACACAGACATTCAGGTGCAACATTGCCTGTACTTTTATGTTGCTGTGAGCCCTACATCAAAAAGGTGGGTGGAAAAATAATACTTAGGATAAACAACAGTTCATTGGAATAAAGGGTTTCTTGAGAAGCCCTGAAAAAGGCCAGGGGAAGTGTATTTTTCTCTGAGAATATATTCTCCTGACTGCAAAGTTATTTCTCATCTTTGCATCTGAAATCAAATAGAGATTAGGAGAACTTACTTGAACTTAAATTACTATCGAAATGGTTACTCTCTGATTTAAATTTTTAGTGAACAATTGGGTAATGAGACACTGTTTCTCTAAAAAATTAAATTATTTAAATAGAAACAGACTTATTACTTGGTTATTTCAGTCTCCAGCACATACTGGCTGGCCACTACTGTAAAGTGATCTGCATTCAAGATTGTGCGTATAAGTGTGCCATTTTCATTCTCAACATCAAGCATGTCATGGAGTTTACAGTGAGTCAGGCAAGTGACAGTTTCAAAATCAGGAGAATTGTATTTCAGAGTCAGTCCTTTTCATCTCAAGGGCAGATTAATTTTTGAGGCAATCAACACATCCCAGCTCATGCAATGCATGACAACTTCCTTCCTGATGATTAGTGAATCTGCAGGTATGGTTTTGATAATGAACTATCAGCAAAGCACATCTACCAAACCCTCACTGCCTCCTCCACTGTGCAGTTGCTCTTTAAACAAATTCAAATGGAATCTAAGCACAAAAGCTAAGCACACTGAAAGAACATTTCTATATATGCACTTGGTAGGTTTCAAAGCTCACAGAACAGACTGCAGAATTTCACATATGCAAGATGATGAAACACATTCTTAGGGACCCGAGGGTCCCAAACAAGTCAGGCGCTAGGACCTCCACCGTATTCTCCAGGCCCAAGTTGTGGGGGTCTTTTTGTCCGTTACACCCATGCATGTAATCAGCGATTGTTCCTATTGTAAACCCTAGATTCACCATCTGTATGCTCCAAAAGGCTGGGGGATTGTTAATACCCCATCCCTATGGGATTAATCTGCAATTTCACACTAAATGATTTTTAAGTATAATTTGTTACAATGATACATTACCATTTCTAAAACAAACAGCCAGGATTGTTATGAGGCAAGTATCTGGGGAGTGCTATATTGGAACAAGTTTATACGCCCTGGTTTCACGTTCACCTCACTTCAGACACAAATGGGAAGAGATGGGAAAGGCCCCATCTAGAATCTTGGGAATGGGCTGTTGGTGAGTGAACACGCTGCTTTTTGTTACTGGGGAGCATGATCCGAACACACAATAGTAGTAAGACTGAAAGAAAGTTCTCTAAGCAGTTCTTTAAAACCACTCACGGTTGCTGGGTGTTTGCAGGATAAAGCTGTTTGCAGTGAAAAGTACAAGTTTGGATTCTCAGTTGAGCAATGAACTATTTAAAAAGGCCCTTTTGTGGACAAAGGAAGAGCTCCCCCCCACCCACCCAAATCAATCTGTGACATAAAAAAGAGGTGGCTTGAAGCATGCAGAGGAATTATGCATTTTCATGTAACACTCTTATTTTTGTCTTAGTTTATTCCATAAAAGATATTATTCTAATCAAGAGTTACCATGAATTTCAAAATATATTACAAAGAAGAATATACTTATTTGAAATCAAACCTAAAGAAAGCAAAAGCACCAAACACCCACCTCACAGCATCATCAGGAAGTCAGAACGAGATGTATAGAACTTAGCACCTCGTTGGGCAGAGTAAGCTGTTTGAGAGGATAACTCATTCTTTGTATTAGCTACTGACAATTTTTGAAATTTTGATAGCAACACAGACACAGAAGATATTTTATTTTTGTCTTCACTGTATTATAAGACCAAAGAAAGACATGTTCCAAGAAAAATGGCAAAGGCCCAAGTCTTGGGATTGGGTGATAAGGACTGGTAGGGTCTGGGGCATACTGAAAACCCTGGGACCAGCCCTGTAACAGGAGGCAAGCTGCACTTGGTCCCAGCTGATAGCTATCTTGAGGGATCGTGGGCCTAGTGTGGCCAACTTTTCGATTTTTAAAGAAAAAACCCCAACGTGTAGAATTTAAAAATTCTAGCATCTAATTCAAAAATTTTAAAAGAAAACCTGTGAGCCAAACAAAGCCTGTCTGTGGCTGAATGTGGCCTGTAGATCCCTGGCTCAGGATCCCTGATTTGAAAAAATAGAAAATCACATACAAAGAAAATAGAATACAGAATAGAGTAATAGTCCCAGTCTAATAATGTAGACCCAGATTAGATATGGAATTATATATAAATGCACCTATAACATAGGTCCAATGGCTAGAGCAATAATCCTGCACGATATGAGAAAATAACACTAAAAGAGATACACAAAGTGGCCAAATTCAATCAGCTATAGAATTCAGAGGCAAGACAGCTTTTCCTTGATTGGTGATTGGTGAATGGAATTTCCTGATGGAAAATGAAGGCAAGATCTTAAATTGGGTGAGGTAATGGATTCAGGGCAGAAGACAAGGGCCCTGAATATTTTTTATTTTATTTTTGAGACAGGGTCTTGGTTTGTAGCCCAGGCTGGAATGCAGTGGCACGATCATGGCTCACTGCAGCCTCTGCCTTCCGGGCTCAAGCGATCCTCCTACCTCAGCCTCCTGAGTAGCTGGAACTACAGACACACGTCACCACAGCTGGCTAATTTTTGTATTTTTTTTGTAGAGATGGGGTTTTACCATGTGGCCCAAGCTGGTCTCGAATTCCTGGGCTCAAGTGATCTGCTGACCTCAGTCTCCCAAAGTGCTGGGATTACAGGTGTGAGCCCAGCCAACTTGATTATTCTTTACTTTTTCTGGGCCCATGTAGCTACAGAACAAGGAGAAGCGCCTTTAGAAACAATCACCTGGAAACATAGCTGTTGCCTGTTGAGCACCTTCTAGCATCAGGTGCTGTCTTTAAGCCTCTCAGAGCCCTGAAAGATGAGTGGTGGTATTCCTTTTTGAGAGATGGGGAAGTGAGGATGCAGGGAATAACTTGTCCAGAAACACTCAGCCAGGGGGACTAGGGGAGGGACAGCTTTGAGACTTGAACCTGGTCTGCCTCACAGCGGAGCCATCATGAAGCCCTTTTCCTAGAGGGCTGTCACCCTATTGAAAGAGCCTGCTAGCAGCAGGGAATGGGTGGTTTTGAGCAAATATTCTAATTCATATGGAATCACTGTGTTAATATATCATGGATTATTCACTAGCCAACAATAAAACATGCTTAAGGTTAAAATGATGCCAATTTGTTATGTCTTTGATGATTCAGAAGGTAGCTCAGAATTTTCCAGGGCCTGGTGAGTATCAATGAGCAGCATAACAATGGAGATAGATATTCAGTAATACCAGCCAAGAGACAGCCCAGATTTTTTTTTTTAAAAAGCTTAAAAAAAAAAAAAAGACAAAGAAAAAAGAAAAAAAGTAAAAAAGGCCAGGTATGGTGGCTCACGCCTGTAATCCCAGCATTTTGGGAGGTCAAGGCGAGCAGACCACTTGAAGTCAGGAGTTCTAGACCAGTCTAGGCAATATGGTAAAACCCCGTGTCTACTAAAAATACAAAAATTAGCCAGGCATGGTGGTGCGCGCCTGTAATCCCAGCTACTCAGGAGCCTGAGGCAGAAGAATCACTTGAACCGGGGAGGCAGAGGTTGCATTGAGCCAAGATCCCACCACTGCACTCCAGACTGGGGAAAAAGAGCGAAACTCCGTCTAAAAAAACGAGAAACAAAAAACTCCAAAGAAAACACTTTTCATAAAGGAATGCCTGGACATATTGACTAAAACCATCACAAAATTAAATGAGGTTATTATAAAAGGATGGAAAAGAATTAAAAAAAAAATGCTCTTGCAACTTGCCCAGTGCACATTTGTGGATCATAGTCCATAACAGGCTTGATTTTGTTAGCTGCTATGTCCACTTTTCTGGGAAGTAGAACAGAACAGTGATGAACCTGGATCTGGGCTGAGGTTGTAGGATGATATCACAAATGTGCAAAGACATTAGAGCATTCCCTTCCCGGAAACATCCAAGGGTTTAGCATCCTCTTATTAAATAAGACATATGACAACAATAAGCATTTCTTCTGCAATCGCACTCCCAAAGAATGATCATACACATATCAGTCATGCTAACAGCAGCGGAGATCAATGACCAGTGTATTTTCATGGTCTCCTAAAGGGGAAAAAAATAATCTGTGCTCCCATCTTCTGAAGTTGTTGTTGGACATTAAATGGCGGCTCCACAGTGCCACGGAACTGTACATCTTAGGAAACCAGAATTCGAAATTACTGGCATGCACCTTGGAGAGGGGGCACTGGATAAACTCTCCTGTGAGAACTTGTGGGGTTTTTTTTGGTTTGTTTTTTTGAGACAGGTTCTCACTCTGTTGCCCAGGCTGGAGTGCAGTAGTGCAATCTTAACTCACTGCAGCCTCAACCTCCAGGGGCTCAAAGCAATCCTTCCATCTCAGCCTCCCAAGTAGCTGGGACTACAAGCATGCACCACCATGCCTGGCTAATTTTTTGTTTATTTTTTTTGTAGAGACAAAGTCTCACCATGTTGCTCAGGCTGGTCTCGAACTCCTGAGCTCAAGCATCCACCCGCCTCGGCCTCCCAAAGTGCAGGGATTACAGCCCTGAGCCACCACACCCAGCCTCCATTGAGAACTTTCTTATAAGAAAATATCACCTAGCTTTTAGGAATTGACAAAGCAAGGGAAAAAAGTGCCTATAAATCTCCAGGGTACTATGTGCCAGACACAGCCCAGGGTGCCATGGCCCTGGAGGGTTCTAATTTAATGGTTCAAGTTAAAAAAAAAAAAAACAAAACAAAACAAAAAACAAACAAAAAAAACCTTGGTATTTCTGCTTCATAGACATGCCCTGCAGTTCACTAGACCAAGCCAGCGGTCAGGGTCAAAGAAAGAGACCTGATCATTACTACAAATCACATATTCCAGACCTCACTCCCTTTTCCTCCTCACCATTGGAAAACTAGACCAATAAGCAAAGCAAAAGCCAAGGACTTGGGAAAAAGGAGAAGAAACGGTCATGACCTGATAATAAAACTGAACTTCTAGGCCGGGCCGTGGTGACTCACGCCTGTAATCCCAGCACTTTGGGAGACTGAGGCGGGCAGATCACGAGGTCAGGAGATTGAGACCATCTTGGCTAACACAGTGAAACCCCGTCTCTACTTAAAACAAAACAAAACAAAACAAAACAAAACAAAAAATTAGCTGGGCGTGGTGGCAGGCGCCTGTAGTCCCAGCTACTCGGGAGGCTGAGGCAGGAGAATGGCGTGAACCCGGGAGGTGGTGCTTGCAGTCAGCCGAGATCATGCCACTGCACTCCAGCCTAGATGACAGAGCGAGACTCCATCTCAAAAACAAACAAACAAACAAAAAAAAAAACTGAACTTCTTGATCAAATAAAACCTGCTTTCAGCTTGCCAAGTGAGTTAATACTCTTAATCCTTCAGTACAAACACTGTTTCTACACATTGCATGTGAGGAACTGGTGTTCCCAGTTATGACTGAGTTGATTTATAAGCTTATCAGCATCATGAACAAATATTTCTTACATAGCCATGGGCATCTTAGCTTTGAACAGACCATGCAGATAACAGATCAGGCAGATAACTACACTGCTTAACTATCAAACCTAAGCAACCAAGACGCAGATTAGAGCATTTTCCACTGCATAGAACTGGAAAGGAAAGCCAAAGCCACATACCTATTGCTTTTTCTTTCTTCTGCAAGATTTCTTGTATAATCGGAGGTCTGGTAAACTGGGTTTGTGTTGGGCCTCGTAGAAATCGTGCTAATAGGGAATCTGAAGAAATCAGGACCAATATAAGGCCTGGGATCCTCTCCCTACACCGGAGCAAATGATAATGTGTAATGAAGCTATGGACGCAGGTGAATTTCACATTCTTTCATTTAAACAAAACAAAACAAAAAAGGTGGGTATTGGCCGCCTTTAGCTCAGTGAAAGCATCACCTAGTACAGGTGTCCTCATTTGCTTGACCATAAAATCACCTGAGGCACTTATTAAAAAATAAAGATTCCTAAGCCTTGCATTTTATGGTTCTGATTTCACCCCAGGTGACCTACTACAATTGAAAAATGCCATGTATTTATATAAGGGAAAAACAGATTGATCTAACAAAGCGAAAGCAGTGTTTTTGTTAAGTTCCCTGGGTTTTGTAGCAGTAGGTGTTTTAGTGGCAATATTTTTACCAACCAGGCCTGAAGCAGTGAACTCAAAAATCTCAATTTTTTAATTAAATGGCCTCCCCAACACCCTCAACCTCCCACCCCACTCCTTTTTAGTGGGAGGGGCTGTCTTTTAGTGAAGGATTCTTGCTTTTCTTTTCCATATTTCATGAGTCTACAGAACTCACAGACTGGATGCCTTTTATTTTAAAAACTTTACTGAATCCATCAGCTTTCAGAAGAGACAATTTCTTTCCAAACCATTCTGAAGATATAAAATTACACCTTAATGAAAATGACTGTGACCTCACAAGGAGGTTGTCAAGTCACCCACGTTTCCTTACAACTCCAAGAAGGATTAACAGAAATAAACCCAAATGCTTTGAATGCTTACAACTTTACTGGTGAATTAATTATATGTCATTCAGGGACATTCAAAGCAACATAAACTATGTAAACCACTTTCCTAACCGGTCAAAACACACATTTTAAATACATGCTGGTCGCGGGAGATGAAAACTGAGAAAGTTTCATGACTGTGACCTCAACTAACATCTGTAAACTACATCTTTTTCCTCCCTAGAGAATGAAAGCTGATCTATTTACTCCTGGCAGAGAAGAAAGGAGGAAGGACGTCCAGGTGCTACCAGAAAACCATTTGTGAGGACATGGACCAGTGCCAAGGTCACAGCCCACCTGAATAGAACTTGAAATCCAGGCACACCCAGTCCAGGGGAGCCCTGAGTTCTTCCTGAACTTAAACACTGGGTTTAAAAAAAAAAAAACAGTCACAGGTGCGGGGACACTGGTCCCCTGCCTGCTGCGAAGTAGATAACGCGAGGACAGCCTCAAAACAACTCCAGACGCTTCGGGTGCCTGAGCCTCACTCGGTGGGGGCGGCGCAGAGGTCCACGTGCAGTACGCGAGCTGGGGAGGTGCGGGAGCCCGCGCTCTGCCCGTGCGCCGCCGACCCACTCACTGCCGCTCGGGGCTTTGGGTTCCCCCCATGCAAAAGGAGGACCATGCTATGTCATCAAGGGCTGATGCGAAGAAGAACCCAGAAGCAGGCGTCAATAAGTAACGAAAGAATGGGGGTAGCCGTGCCTAATATCGTTGCTGCCGTGGCAATTACTGCAACGGAGGCTTGAGAGTTAGGGCGCCAGAAACGCAAACTTTCCAGGGGACCAAACTCATCCAAGCCTCCTAAGGGGCCTGTGGAGACCTCTGCCCGCTCTGGGCCCCGCCGCCGTCCGCGGTCCGCGCCACCTTTCCCGCGGCTGGCTCCAGGCGGGGCGGGGCAGCGGCGGCGCGGGCCGGGCGGCGGGGAAGGGAGGGAGCGCGGTTGCACACGCGGGCCACTGCCCCCAACGGCTGCGCTGGGCTCGCGGCGCCGTACCCCGAACGCCGCAGCCTCCGCCTCCGCCGCCGCCGCCACCGCCACCGCCACCGCCGTCGCCGTCGTCGCGGCTGCCGGGGCCGCCGAGCCCCGCCGCACTCGCTCCGGGCGGGCTCACCCTCCTCGCGGGACAGGGGGGCGCAGCGCGCAGTCCCGGGGAGCCCTCCTCGCCTCGCCGCCGCGCTGGGCCCGGGCCCCCCCTCGCGGCCCCAGCAGGTGGAGGCGCCCCGCGCCCCGCTCCGCAGCCCCCTCCCGCTGCGCGCCAGCCCGCGCGGGCGCAACTTTCTTAAAGGGACAGGTGGACCGAATCCGCGTCCACCTGGGGCCCCGTCTCTGCCTCCCGGCCCGTCCTCCACTTTGGGGGAGAGAGGGGGTTGCAACAGATCTCTCCGCCCGCCCACGTCCTTTGCCCCAGGCGGGATTGCAAGTTTTAATGCACCCAGCCTCCTTTTGCAACTTAATTCCCTTGGCCGAAATCACCCTCCCACTGCTCCTCAACGCATGCTCTCGGGCATGCAGTTGTTGTCACTGTTGGCAAAGTTTGAAGAGGGGTCCCTACCCCTGCACTCCTCCGCCCCGCCCCCCTCACACACACCCCCCCCCCAGAACCCCGGGGCGTGCAAGGCTCGCGGCTGCTGGGAAACGCCCGCTGCAATCCCCTTGACCCTGCCCTGTAACTGACCCTTGGGGAAAAGCCCCCCGCACGGCTACTGCGCATGCTCTGAGCTGGACAGCTCCAGAGAGGGAAATTTAAAAACGGTTCGAGCTGCGACGGCGGCCAAATTGCGGAACGCGAGGGGCGAGCGCGAGGGAGCCCCCCTCCGGAACCCCTGCCCACCCCCGGAGCGCCGGCAGCGGCGGCCCCGCGAGGATCGGCTCCAGGTACCGCCTTGCAGGGTCGGCTTTGCTCCCTCCTCCCGGGCAATGCCGGGCATTGCATTTCCAGGGTAGAGACCCGGGCGCAGGGGCTGCGGGGCCGCCTCCCTCTGCTCCCTTTTCCTCCTTCCTGGGAATCCTTCGATGGCTTTGGGGGCGGAACTGAGGCTTTGGTGGGCTTTTATGTTGGTTCAGGCTTGGAGTTTGAGAAACTTAGGGAACTCAAATATTTTTATTATTTTTTTAAGGCAGTGTTTGTGTGTTGCGGGGACGTGGGTGGTTGGATTGGTTTTCCAGTAAGGGCTTGTGGCATTTCTGAAGGCATTTCAGGGCAGGAGCTTGCGGGGATTATTCCCTTTGCAAGTGGGAATTTGTTCCCCCAGAGAAATACACATGTCACATCCAGCTGCCCCTTATTTTGAAAGTGATCATAACCAAACTGAGGTTGAAAATATAAGGCTTGGAAGGAAATCGTTTTTCTGATTCCTATTTTGTGAGTCCACATTTTCCAGGTTTGACATTTGGATTCTAGAGCTTCCCTTGCTCTTCCCCCATTAATTCGAAAGAACCGGGAATTTCATTTCATTCTCTTCATTTGTTTCTAAAACGCTGTAGAATTGCCCTGGGAAAGTGACCTGAGATGCCCAGGAATCCTCTAGAACTTTTTTCTTTAAAGAAAAAAAAAGTGTTCTGTGAGTTGATTGTGCTCCATCTTTCTGAATTGCGGGAAAACTGTGGGTTTCTGCCCTGTCCATATCGTCGCTGATGGGAGCTTTGTTTTCTGCTTGTCTTTTCCCAAGGAGATGATAGAAAGTGACACCTCATCCATAATGTCAGGAATTATTCGAAACTCAGGGCAAAATCACCACCCCTCTCCACAGGAATACAGGTGAGGGCTCCAACAATAACAAACTATATATTTTTTAATTGCTCAAAGTGTTTGTATGCTGTTTATGGTTTCTGAAACTGCCCAAGAACTATTGTTATGTTCAATTCTGTGATTTTTGCGGGAGAGCTGGAAAGTCTTGATTTCAATGTTGGTCTTGCTAAGGGTGTCTGGGCCACAACCTGGCCCAGTGGGACCACGAAATGCCTGCTGTCTCTTGTCCCCTCCAAAAGAGGTCCGTTTCTGCATTTGATACTGTTTGGGCATCCTGGTGAATGTTAAGATGACAATAGCAGCTACTGCTTCCCCTCCAGTGGCCTTAATGGGGGCTGTGGGAAATGCTCCCCCACCCCCTGCCAAAAAAAAACCTTCTGGGAGGAATTGGGTTCTATCCTCCACAGATGTTAAGAAAGTAGTCAGATATGCTAAGTTCTCAGCCAGGCTGTGTGACATTCAGCAAGTCCTTTGCCCTGGGCCTCACTTCCTCATCATTTAATTGATCTTGTTGAAGTAGATGATCTTAAGGTTTCTTCTAGGCCTCATGTGTTTGAAGAGTAAATTAGATGGAAACTGAGGCCTTGAAACAGGGTGAAGCAAGGTACAACTGAGAGGATGCATGGAAGCCTTCAGAGCCCTTCTGTCTTTTTTTGTCTTCAAACATCATAGCCAAAAAGGCCTTTAGGAGGTCAACCAGTCTGCGCACCCCCTATTTTTTTTACAGTTGGGGAAACTGAGGCCAAGAAAGGGGAAAGGGCTTGTCCAAGGTCTCCAGGAGGGAAAAGGAGGAAAAGGAAGGACCTGGAGTCCCCTCCCGGCCTCTTTCCCCTTGAGGCCAGGGAGCCCTGACCTCGTTTCCAGGGCTCCCCCGACAGAGCAAGCAACATGTCTGTAGGCTGAGGGGGCACAGTCCAGATTACGGAATGGGGACAGGACCAGGGCTGGCCTGGGAAGAGCAGGCTGTCACCTCCTATCAGCCCTGTTTACCCAGGGTTTGTCTGGCCCCCCCGGGGTCACTGCAACTCACCAGGAGTGCCTGCTGGGACAGACCGCAGCCCGCAATTAGAGGGAGGCTGCTTCCTGAGGGCTGTGGGCCTGGAAGCTGCCTTCTGAGATCCAAACGAGGACACAGATTCAAACAGATATTTGCAGAGAGCCTGCTGTGTGCAGAGCTGGGGCCAGGTACGTGGCAGTTTGCAAGCACCTACTGTGTGCCATCCCCCATCACTCACCTCATCTCGGGAGGTTGCTCTGATGAGCCCTGTTGTATAGGTGAGGAAACTGAGGCTTAGAAAAATGAAATGGCTTCTCCCAAGATCACACAGCCAAGGGCCTCTAGGCTTCCTTCCAGCACTCTCAGGGTTTAAATAATGCCAAGTGATTTAGTGGCAGTGTAAGGGTTAGCAGCTTAGGCTCTCAAGTCCATTATAATCCCAACTTCTCTGGCTACGTGGAGCTCTCTGAGCCTCAGCTTCTTCATCTGTAGAATGGGGATAGAAATAATACCCACTGCATGGAGTTGTTATGACAATTTAGTAATCATTTTTGGCTCTGCCATTCACCAATTATGAGCAGATTCACCTGTGAACTTTCATAGTTTTGTGCAATGGGGATAGTAAAAGCTAGCTCTGGAGGGTTAAATGATATATGTATCATATTATCTATGAAGGCACCTGACACCCAGCAGGCACTGAATGTATCCAGGGTGAATCTACTTCTGCCCTCCTAGCTGCAAGCCTGGGCGAGCGCATCCTTCCTCCAGGTTGGCTTTAAGAGCTCAAAGACATTGAATCTTACTGTTGCCTAAAAGCGCCCCTTAAAAGCACTGGAGATAGGGGAGTCAGAGAGTGAGAACAATTGCTAGGATTCAGACACGTGCAGGTTCAAAGCCCAGCTTTAGGCAGGGCCGGTGACTTGCTTTTGTTTCTCATCTTTAAAATGGGCATGATCACAGCTCTTCCCTCATGCAGTTGCTGGGAGGATTAAGTAAATAAAGCTTGTAGAGCAAGAAACACATAATCAGTAGTTGCTGTTGCTGTTACCACTTAGTTACATTAGAGAGTCCAGCTTCCCGCAAGAGACGCGTCTATGGAGGGCTCTCACGGTGGGAAGTGGGGAGGAACTTGGAGGGTGGGAGAAACCCTGAATCCAGGTGCCCAGGTGCTGCCCAGGAGGGGCTCCCATCAGACTCAGCCCCGGAGTCTTGACCTTGTTCATCTGGGCCACCCAGCTGACAAACTGTCTGGGGGCACTAAGCAACTGCCCTTCTCCAAAAACAGGGCGGGGCAAGCAGAGAACTTCTTGGGGGCCTGGCAATGCCTAGCCAGTCCACTGCCGAGCTAGCAGGGGTCAGGAGTTGGGGAGTGGGGAGGAGAAGCAGGCCTGTTCCCATCAGCACTGGATCCAGAGGTGCCCAGGCTCCTGGTCTGGCACAAGCCTTTCCTGTTCACGTGGATTCAAGGCTGGTTTTTGTTTTGTTTGTTTGTTTTTGGTTTTTTTACTTGTTTTTTTTGTGTGTGTGAGTCACTCTGTCACCTAGGCTGGAGTGCAGTGGTGTGAACTCAGTTCACTGCAACCTCCGCCTCCCGGGCTCAAGCAATTCTCCTGCCTCAGCCTCCCTAATAGGTGGGATTACAGGCGAGAGCAACCGTGCCTGGCTAATTTTTTATTTTTAGTAGAGACAGAGTTTTGCCATGTTGGTCAGGCTGGTCTCAAACTCCTGACCTCAAGTGATCCACTTGCCTCGACCTCCCTCCAAAGTGCTGGGATTATAGGCGTGAGCCACCGTGCCCAGCAGTGTTTTCTTATATCCAACAGCCAGAGTATCCAGAAGGCAAAATAACATAATAATAATAATAACAACAATAATAATAGCAGCTGGTGGTTTCTTAACCTTTTACTGCCTGCCTTCCCTGTGCTCTTGGCTTTTGGCATAAATCCCCGTCAAATCCCATCAAATCCCCAAAACCACCCCATGAAGGTAGAACTCTTGGGCCCATTTGGTGAATGAGGAAACCAAGGCTGAGCCTGTTTAAATGGCTTAACAAGATGGCACAGCTCATCATGGGTACAGTGGAGACTTGGCCCCAAAGTGGTTGCACCCTGAGAGTATTTGTAACCACCATTTGTGACCACTGGCCCCAAGTCCCACTGGCCATGAGCACGGGTGTTGGAACAGAATAAGCTGCTGCATCACCTCACCTCAGTGTGACCCTGGAGTAGTCACTGCCTCTCTCTGAGCCTCAGGTTCTTCATCAGTGAAATGGAGCCACCCAATTTGCAGGTTTGCTGGGAGGATTCTGCACTTCGAATGGGTCAAGGCATTCAGAGGGGCCTGGGAGAGAATGCTTTCTTGCAGAGGGGGTTTTATGATTACACAGTGACTTCCCACTTCCAACCACTCCCATTTTTCTCCCCAAATAGTAGCCCAGGAAAAGTTTATGGGCTTCTCATTCGCCCTCCCACATCCCAGAGAAGGACTCCAAGGACCACTTAGGCTGTGGGTCCAGCCTCTCGTGCAGCCGCCTGGCTCTCCATCCCCCTGGGGCTGAGTTTGGCCGTTAATTTTCAATGGCTGTGTGCAGGAGGGCGGGGGCAGCAGCTAGAGGCGGCTGCCCTGTCCCTGGGGAGCTGTCAGGAGTCAGTGGCGGGGCCTAGACAGCAAATTGGCAGCAGCCTCTCAGCCCTGCTGCTGATGAAGGGGCAGGGGACTGGGGGTGGTCCTGACCTCTTGGGCAACGGTAAACAGGGCTCATGCTCAATGTGGGTTAGCTGGATTTCTCTCTAGCTCAGGGGGTGGGAGGAAAGTCCACCCTTAGAGGTGCTAAAACAGAGTTATTAAGTATCTACTGTGTGCCAGGCACCTGCAAAACATCTTAGCAAGGGCAGCATCCCATTTCATCTTTTTATTTACTTCTTTCTTTCCTTCTTTCCTTCTTTCTTTCTCCTTTCTTTCTTTCTTTCTTTCTTTCTTTCTTTCTTTCTTTCTTTCTTTCTTTCTTTCTTTCTTTCTTTCTTTCTCTTTCTTTTCTTTTCTTTCTTTTTTTTTTTTTTGACGGAGTCTGGCTCTATCGTCCAGGCTGGAGTGCAGTGGTGCGATCTCAGCTCACTGCAACTTCCACTTCCTGGGTTCCAGCAATTCTCCTGCCTCAGCCTCCTGAGTAGCTGGGATTACAGACGCCCATCACCACGCCCAGCTAATTTTTGTATTTTTAGTAGAGATGGGGTTTCACCATATTGTCCAGGCTGGTCTTCAACACCTGATCTTAAGTGATCCGCCTGCCTCAGCCTCCCAAAGTCCTGGGATTACAGGCGTGCCACTTTTTTATAGTAACAACCATGAGACAGGTACTGACATTATCCCAATCTACAGGTAAGGATACTGAGGCCAAGAGACATGACTTGCTCAAAGGCACACATTTATGAAGGGGCAGAACTTATATTATTAATCACCTGCCCCTACCTTTTAGAATTTATTCTAGAGGTCAGGTCCAACAAGCTCCTTTTACAGATTGGGAAACTGAGGCCCAGTGAGATGACGGAAGGCAGGCTTCTGGCTTCTTGGACCCTCACCTTCTCCCAGGGCCACAAGGCTCAGTGGTCCTCCTTCTGGATCCTCGTGCTGGATGTTCACTTCCCAAAATCTCAGTCCCTGCTCTAAGAAATGAGGCGACCTTAGGGGAAAGCCCTTCCTCTCTCTGGATGGTGGTTCTCTTATCTGTGGACTGCAATGCTGGGCACACAGTAGATAAAAGTTAATACATATGTACTGGATAGATGGATGAATGGACAAATATCACGTGAAAATAACACATCCATGGAAACACAGGGAGGCTTCATGCTCAAGGGATGATAAATTTCTCTTGAACCCACACTGCGTGTGGGGATAGTTTAACCCATATCAGGTGGCTTCACCCATCAGTTGTGATCTCCTTGGAAGGGGCTCCGTTTCTTAGGGGCAGTAACCATCCCGATGTCTTCCCATCCCTTCACCCTCAGGGTGGAGAGAACAGCTCCTCAGGTGACCTTATGGGCAAGGAAGAGAGGTAGCCTCTCTGTGGTCCGACTCTTTCCCAGTCTTGCAGTTTCATCCCTAAAAAACACATGTGTGCATGCACTCACACACACATGCACATTCTAAGTCCCAAGCCAACTCTTGTTCTAGAAAGGAAAGATTCTTTTATCCAAATTCCTAATCAAATCATTTCACACTACACTGACCCTTGGCCAAGCTGGGAATTTCTGAGCTTGCTAAATTGTATTTGATTTTCTTTATCCTGCACATGGTTACAAAAGATGTGTTAGCTAAATAAACACCTCCATGAAATGCTTAATCCCTTTTTGTGTAATGGTTGGATTGGGAACAAGAACAGCTTTCAGTGATGTAACAGTTTCTTACCCACCACATCTCAAGAAGGCAGGCGAAACCTTGTTGTAATCAGGGCGGAGTTGCCGCGCAGGTAGGGCGGGACATGTCTCTGAATCTCTGGAATGGTGATCTAACCCCCACCCCCCGGCAATATTTGTCAGGCAGACCCCTCCTAAATGACAACGCAGAGGAGAGAATGAAGTGGGAAGAGAGAAATGTGGCCTGAGCACCTACTACTATGTGTCTGGCTTTGTCTTAGAGGTTACCTGATCTTATCCTCACATCTGCCCCCTGTGGTGAGAATTATTATTATTCCATTTTACTTATGAGGAAACTGCAGCACAGAGAGGTGAAGTGACTTCCCCCAAATCACACAGCTATGAAGGGGTTGAGATGAGATTTCAACTAAACTCAAGATGGATATTCTTTCCTCTGTACAATTGCTGTATCAACCTAAGGAATCCCAAGGTAGGAAGTAAAGAGTTAATTGTGGTCTCTGGACTTCAGCTATGTAGGCAAGTATTCCCACAGAAACCATAATCCATCCATAAATATGTGTGACCCTGTGTGGGCACCTGCCAGGCTCTATGGCAAGTTCATTGCATTTTACCTTTATGGCAACAATCACGGGACAGTGGCCGTGGGGGTCCAGTTCACATTGGGGGGACAAATATTTGTCAAATGAAAGGCTCAGAGCTGGCTGCTATGGGTCTTGTAATGAGGTGTAAGACACATCCATCTTTGTCCTCTTGGCATTTAGTATCTAGAAGGGAGGAGCGGGTAAGAACAGATGCCTGGGTTACATTAGTGGGTGATCATGAGTGGTCTGTGCTACGTGTAGATACTGACAGCACTAACCATTTCAGGAGAAGGGAAAACTGGGAGATGCTGAACTGGTCTGGGAGGGCTTCCTGGAGGAGGTGTATTTAAGCTGGGCAGGAAATGAATGGAGATTGAAGAATGCAAGATATGTTGGGGCTGGGCTGGGCTGAGGACTCTTCCTCCCTTTCTGACTCTAGCTTTCATACTTGAGAGTATGTAATAGATGCCCACAGGGCGTCAGGTCCTATGCCAGGTGCTAAACAAAATAGAGGGCCTCCTGGTCCTTGCCATCCTATGGCAGAAAGACTGGAAACATGTATAAGTAAATATCTCATTGCAAAATAAGTATTCTGTGGACACCCACAGGAAGAGATAGGGAGGGCCTGGGAGGGCCTCTTGCAGGAGAGATCATTTAGGCTGAGAAAGAGCCAGCTATAAATGAGTGCATGGAACAGCATTCCAGGCAGAGGGAACAGTGTGTACAGTGATCTTAAGATGAGTGAGAATTAGAATGTTTGAGGAACTGGGAGATGGACAGGTTGCTAGAGCAGAGAGGATGGAAGGAGAGAGGTGGGGAAGGAGATGGTCGAGTGCCAGGTCAAGGTGAGGAGCTTGACTCTCACTCCCTTGGTGGGTTTTAAGGACAATGACAGGTTCCAATGTCCCTTGTAAGAGGTCACTTTGGCTGCTGGGTGTTAAATCCATTCCACAAACAGTTCTCCAGTGCCTACCTGGAGCCAAACATGGCACCTATGGTTTGCCTACCCCGAACTGAGAGTCAGGCTCTGTTCTCACCTCTGTTCGGCACACGAGGATGCTGGGGTTCAAAGGGCATTGAGTTATCTTCCCAAGACTTCCCCATTAAGAGTGGAGCTGGACTGGAATGCAGGTCTCCCTGGTCCCTGTCCTCCTGTTCCCTGCCGGTTTCTTTCCTCCCTCCAGCAACACAACTGATTAAGGACATTGTCCATTAAAGTGGGTTGGGTTGATCTCCCAGTCAGCGTAGGATGGAAGCCATGGACTCCAGTGGTGTCTTGCCTTGCCCAGAGCTACCACAGGGTCCCCTGACAAGTGACTGTGACACCATGGGGATACCTGGCAGCTGGATTTTTTTATTTTCTATTTTTTATTTTTATTTTTTTAGAGACAGGGTCTTGCTCTGTCCCCCAGGCTGGAGTGCAGCAGCGTAATCAGAACTCACTGCAGCCTCAAACTTGTGGGCTCAAACAATCCTCCTGCCTCAGCCTCCTAAGTAGCTGGGACCACAGGCCTGCATCACCATGCCTGGCTAATTTAAAAAATGTTTGTAGAGGCAAGGTGTCAGTATGTTGTCCAGGCTGGTCTTGAACTCCTGGCCTCAAGTGATCCTCCTGCATCAGCCTCCCAAAGCGCTTCGATTACAAGCATGAGCCATCACGCCTGGGCACACCCTGATTTTTTAAATAAATGATATGATGAGGGTTTGCCCTTCCTGCATTTCAACCAAACTGGTAGAGCAGCTGAGTGAAGAGGCTCCAGGCTCTGAGTGCGTCCCTGGTTCAAATCCCAGCTCCTTTGCAGATATGCTATGTGGCTGAGACATGTCACTCATCTCTCTGGGCCTCAGCCATCCCATCTGTGAAATGAGGATGACAGGTAGCTGTCCCCACAGGCTCTCAGGAGACTGGAGAGTTTTGGACCTAGGGGGTTGGCAGGAAGGTAGCATCCCATGCAGGGGTCTCTCCTGTGCATTCTGGCGTCAATCAGAAAGTTATCTCCTTGGATGCGGACAGTTGCTTCTGCTTGCCAGAACAGTGCCTGGCAAGTGAGAGTTCAAGAAATGCTGTGGAATAAAGCAGACACTTCCCGAGTGCCGGACACCCTGCTGTTGGCTGTCTTCACGGGGTCTACTTCTCCATACTCTTCAGGAGATGTTTACTATAATGGGACCACCACCACTGGGGTGAGCGGCCTACCTGTGTGCCTTCCTTCAATCCTCACCATACCTCGTGAGATGGATGAGCATTAGCACTCCCATTTTATAGATGTGCAAACTGAGGCTCAGAGAGGCAGACAGCTGCAGACAATTCTCACAGCTGCTAAGTGGCCAGATCTAGGCCTGGCTGACCCCAAAGCCTACCTGGGTGACCACTCCACTGCAGTGCCACAGAGAGAGCAAAGGGGGACCCGGGGCTGGGCTGCCCCGCTGGGATGGGCTTAGGATGTGGCATTGCAGAACTCACAAGGGCACACAGGTAACACCCATGAAGTAATAAGCACATAGTAGGTACTTGGGAAATGGATTACACCAATGATAGAGTGTTATTCTGACACTGATGTTCCCAGGGTGCCACCTCAATCCTTGCCCGGATCTGTCTCAGACCTTGAATGCTCCATGTGTTCCGTCCCTTCAAAAGGGGACCCAACCCTTCAGCATCCCCCTACTTCCTGGCAGAGGGGGGACTGCCTAAAGGGGCTCTAGTGGCATCCCAGATGAGGAAATCGAGGCCTAAGGAGGGAGGTGCTGAAGCAGCTACCTGGGGCTGCTGAAGCTTGGGGATTTGGCGAGGTCACCTGGCTTGACCTCACCTTTCCTATCTGTTAAAGGGGATGATGAAGCCTCTAGGGTCTGTGGGCGTGTGCATGTGTGCGTTTACATGCACGTGTGTGTTGTGTGTGCATATGTGTGTTGTGTGTGTGCACGTGTGTGTGCACACATGTGTGCATCCGTGTGCGTAGTGTGCATGCGTGCGTGTGTGTGTCTGTGTGCATATGCGTTTTGATAAGGAAAAATATGCACCTGCAAAAGGCTGAGCTTTGAAAAGCAAGAAGCGTCCTTGGGGGCGGGGGAAGTTGCTGGTGAACTATTGAATTCAGGGAGACTCTGGAGCACCAGATAGGTCTTTTATGTTCTTTTTGCCCAAAAAGCTCTCTGCTCACCAATGAGGACTCCCTGTGGGTGACAGATCACCCACGTAGTTTGAGAAAGACACATTGTCAGGAGTCACCCTGGGGACCCCTGAACTAATAGTTCTGCCTGCCTTTTCAGCAGACCAGATGCCTCATCTGATCTGATGCTTAAATAAATTATTGATGAACTGTTGTCATTTTCTCTCAGGCAACTCCCTTAGGGTAGCTGCTATTATTATTCCCACTGTCTACACAGTGAAACTGAGGCCCAGGGCAGATAAGTCACCAGCCCCAGGTCACGCAGCCAGGAGGAGCTCACACCTGTGGCCCTGAGGGACCCTCTACTCTGTTGCTGCTGCTTTATAGTTGGGGAAATTGAGGTCTGGAGAAGGAAAGGTGCTTGCCCAAGATGATGGAACTTTGGAAATGCTCCCAGGGGGTTCACCTGCAGGTTTCTCCCACAAATGTCGGGGTCTTTGCATCAAAAGCAACCTTAGAAGGGCTGGGCGTGGTGGCTCACACCTGTAATCCCAACACTTTGGGAGGCCGAGGTGGGCGGATCACCTAAGGTCAGGAATTCGAGACCAGTCTGGCCAACGTGGTGAAACTCTCTCTCTACTAAAAATGCCAAAAATTAGCTGGGTGTAGTGGTGGGTGCCTGTAATTCCAACTACTCAGGCGGCTGAGACAGGAGAATTCCTTGAACCCGGGAGGCGGAGGTTGCAGTGAGCCGAGATCATGCCATTGCACTCCATTGGAGAAGAGCGAAACTCCATGTTAAAAACAAAAACAAAACAAAACAAAGCAAAAAAAAAAAACAAAAAAAAAAAACCTGAAACAAAAGGAACCGTACAGGTTGCTTGGGCTCATCTTTCATCCAGCAGGGGCCTGGCAGTTCATCCCCTCGGCTACTGCTTGGATAGGTCTGGGACGGGGGGCTCACAACTTTGTGAGATGCCCTAATGCACAGCTCCTGTTTTACAGAGCTCTTCCCTGCAACCTCCTTGCTGGTGGTGGGGATGGCGATGGGGGACTCCTTTTACAATGAAACATACTAAAACTCAAAATTCCATGAAATCATCTCCTTAAATTTCCAGATCTAAATCAAATTTCTAGTTGTTTTAAGGCAATGTAAGAACACCACAGATTTTTTCCATCAAGATGGAAAAGATTGTTTCAGATCACTGCCACCTAGAACTTTCTCCACTGATGGAGATATTTCATATCTGCACTGGCCATGTGTGACCATTCAGCACTTCAAACGTGGCTGATGGGCCAAGGAACCAAATCTGTACATTTGATTTTATTTCAATGAATTTAAATGTAAATAGCTGCTTGTGCCTGCCTATTGGGGAGACACTGCGAGGATTTTCTAGATATCATAGAGCAGCAGTCTCAGCCTTTTTGGCACCAGGGATTGGTTTTGTGAAAGAGAATTTTTCCATGGACCGGGTGAAGGAAGGGGGATGGTTTCGGGATGAAACTGTTTCACCTCATATCATCCGACATTAGATTCTCATAAGGAGGCTGGGCACCGTGGCTCACGCCTGTAATCCCAGCACTTTGGGAGGCCAAGGTGGGTGGATGACTTGAGGTCAGGAGTTCAAGGCCAGCCAGGCCAACATGGTGAAACCCCATCTCTACTAAAAATGCAAAGACTGAGCTGGGCATGGTGGCGCCTGTAATCCCAGTTACTTGGGAGTCTGAGACAGGAGAATCACTTGAACCCAGGAGGTGAAGGTTGCAGTGAGCCAAGATCATGCCACTGCACTCCAGCCTGGGCGACAAGAGCAAGCCCCTGTCTCAAGAAAACAAAACAAAACAAAAAGATTCTCATAAGGAGTGGACAACCTAAATCTCTTGCATGTGCAGTTCACAATAGGGTTTACGCTCCCGTGAGAATCTAATGCCGCTGCTGATCTGACAGGAGGTGGAGCTCAGGCACCTGCTACTCACCTCCTTCTGTGCAGCCCGGTTCGTAACAGGCCACGGACCAGTACTGGTCCTCAGCCTGGAGGTTGTTGACCTCTGTAATAGAGCACACTTCTTCAGCCAGGGAGAAAAGGACAGGGTTGTTGTGGCCAACCCAGTCTCTGGAGGTGGATCTCCTGGTTCCACAGCTCCCTGGCTGGGTGACCCTAGACAGGCCTGTTCCTCTCTGGCCTCAGTGTTCTCGTCTGGCAAATGGGAAGGTGGTGACGATAACAATCCCTGCCTGATCAGGCTCTTGCAAGGATGATGTGAGATCCAGTGAGAAAGTGGCTTTAGCTCAGGGCTGGGCGCACACCAGGGGCTTGTCCACCCCATGCCACATCCATGGGGGGACAGCTGACCCCAGGGGAGTGTGGGTGGAGCAACCAGAATGCTGGGTCTGTTTGCTCATCTGTGTTCATCTGTGGGTACTTGTAGAGCAGCCTTTGTGTGCCCGGCCCTGTGCTGGGCACTGGGAGTTTGGCTCCTCCCCTGGGGGCATGAGGGTCCTTGCTTCAGCATCAGGGTCTCTGGGGGCTGCCTGCACCCAGCAGGGGACTCAACCCCTGTCCTGTCCTGGTCTCCTCCCTGCCAGACCCTTAGGGACCCTGAAGACCTGAAGGTGTAGCCCCTACCCTCCCTGGGGCCACCAGTTGGGCTCAGAAGAAAATTGTGGCCAACTAGAGCGCTCCCTGGGGCTCAGAGAAATCGGGAATCCAATGGGGAGACACTGAAAGGTGCAGAGAGGGAGAAGGAAAGGCATCCTTTGTGAGGGAACAGAAGGCGCAGAGACACAGAGGAAGGCACACAGAGAAGGGGGGAAGGACATTTGGCCCCAGCCGGGACCTTTAGTGCAACGGAGGCTTGTCACATACCACACCTGAGTGAGAGCACGGGGGTCACCTGAACAGGTTGGAGGGCAGGATGGGGCCACAGCTCCCCAGCGCTGGGTGCGCAGGAACCACCTGAGGCTGGGGGATGCGTTAATTGCAGGTACCCGGCCTCTTCCCCAGAAAGCCTGGCTCAGTGCCTCTGGGCGACCCAGCAGCAGGGCTGGTACCATGCAGGGGACTGTAGGTGAGTAGGGTGGAGACAGGTCCATGGGAGATCGGGGACCCTGGACGCCATGTCAGAGAAAGGGGAAGAGGAGAGGATGGGCACTTATCAGAGCTCTTGTGGGTGCTCTGCCTTCATCATTGTTGCTCCCATTCTACAGATGAGGAAACTGAGGCTCAGGAAGGTTAGGAAGCACATCAGATGCCACCAAACCTGAAGGGCAGGGCTGGGACTTCCTCCCAGGGCCCCTCAGTTACAGTGACAGACACAGAAGAAGAGAGAAGGGGAGTCAGAGATGGAGGGAGAGTGGAGGAAGCGGGTGGAAGGAGTTGGGTCTTCTTTTTCTTTTTGAGACAGTATCTTGCTCTATCGCCCAGGCTGGAGTGCAGTGGCATGATCTTGGCTCACTGCAACCTCCGCCTCCTAGGTTCAAGCAATTCTCCTGCCTCAGCCTCCCGAGTAGCTGGGATTACAGGCGCACGCCGCCGTGCCCAGCTACTTTTTGTATTTTTAGTAGAGACAGGGTTTCGCCATGTTGGCCAGGCTGGTCTCAAACTCCTGACCTCAGGTGATCTGCCTGGCTTGGCCTCCCAAAGTGCTGGGATTACAGGCATGAGCCACCACACCCGGCCAGAGTTGGGTCTTTGCAGTTGATTCTTCTCAAAGCCTCCTCTGGAGGTGACCCTAGGCAGGCAGGCATCAGTGACATGGGAGACTCAGGGTTAGCAGGGCTGAATTTTCCTCTCGCCCAGGAACTGAAGTGACACACCCAGATGGGGAGCAGAACAGGCCTTGGGAGGAGAGCCCAGGGCAGTGGGGCTAGAATGTGCCTTTTTCTTTGAATTAAAAATGTCCTGTCATTTTCCAGTAGAGGAGAAACTTAGGAGGTTGATTTAGGGTCTCTCTCTGTGTGGCTCTCTCTGTTACACACACACCAGGGAATATTCCCAAACCCTCTAAGATGGCAGGGTGGATCACAAAGCCACTCCGCCTCCACACCAGTGTGCCAGCCTGGGGGGTATGAGGTATTGCGGCTATTACTATTATTATTATTATCACTCATGCCCATTTTACAGGTGGGAAACTGAGGCTGGCGATTAAGTGCCCTCCCCAGGGCCTATGGCTGAGAAGCCAGAATGGGTGGTTCCAGAACCAAGGAGTCTTTCCTGAGTTACAGCTGCTGTGAGCCCTGTAGTTTACAACATCTCAAATGAGGCACCAGGAGAGGCGAGGGCACATGGGGACACCTTTAATGAGGGAACTTCAGGCACTGATGAGGGAGAGGTGTGGAGGGGGCTTCACATGCCACTGTGGAGAGGGGCACGTGCTGACCTTTCTGCAGGGGACAGAGGTCAGTGTGGGCAGGGGGTTGGGGGATGAGACATTCTCATGTAGGCCCTAGTGCATCAGCCCCTGGACCTTGCCATGTATGCAGAAGACATGCCTGAATGCCAGAGAGACCCTAAGAGACAGCAGGAAGTTAGCCAGCCTTCGGAGCCAGTGGACTCCCACCACAGTGCTCCTGGTACCCACAGCCACTGCAGGTGTCCAGGGTGCTGGCTGGGGCCACCTGTCAGGTGCACTGAGGTGGACATTCTGGCATGGGCAGTGGGCACAAGAGAGGACCAGACCACCTTTGGGATGCCTGGAGTAGTGGGGAAGCAGGGGCCTGGCCATCGACCCCAAGCATGTACAGCAAACCCCCGAGAAGGGAGATGGGGACTGCACCTGTGCCAAAAGTCAGTCACACAGTGGCTCACCTGATCCTACGACAGCCAGGGATTGGAGCCCCAGGGACCTGCAGTGACTTGTCCAAGGTCACGCAGCTCAGGGGTTACAAGGACTTGAACCTAGATCTGTCCAGTCAAAGCCTGAGCTTTGGCCGTGTCCCCTGTGGGCTGTCCTTCCCCCAGAGCATAGCTGGAAGTCCCAAGGGTGGGGCTTCAGGGTCTGAGCTGGGGCCCCAACTCTGCATTTTAACTGGCTCTCTGGGAGATGCCGGTTCGCGTAGCCCCAAGTGAGAGCCTGGGACCCAGGGTGGGGCATCTCCCCCGGAAGACGTCTGATCTCCACCTGTAGTGCCACAGGAACCACCTGAGGGAGGCAGACAGACCCGGGTTCGAGTTCTGACTGCCTCGCTTATAAACAAAGGGATTTTGCTTTTACTGGGCTGGCCTCAGCTTCCCCCTCTGTGAAGTGGGGCTGCCTACTCTCTGTCCCTGTCCTGGGACTGTGGCAAGGACCTGAGGAGGTGGAAGACCGCTCTGTCAGTTCAAAAGAGCTAGATGTGACCGTCACTGTCACACCAACTCTCAGCGCTGGTGGCCTGCGGTCAGCCTATTTCAACCAGCCAAGCAGGCATTTAAAGGGCACCCACTTTGGGAGGCCAAGATGGGCGGATCACAAGGTCAGAAGTTCAGCACCAGCCTGACCAACATGGTGAAACCCCATATCTAATAAAAATACAAAAATTAGCCCAGCGTGGTGGCGCGTGCCTGTACTTCCAGCTACTCAGGAGGCTGAGGCAGGAGAATCGCTTGAACTCAGGAGGCGGAGGTTGCAGTGAGCCGAGATCGTGCCACTACATTCTAGCCTGGGTGACAGAGCGAGACTCTGTCTCAAAAAACAAACAAAGGCACCCACTGTGTGCAAGGACATGGGGCAATATGGGGTTTGGAGCCAACACTCAATGAGCCAGAAGGCAGAGTGATGGGGCAGAGAACTAGACAGTGCAGGACTGGCTGGTCCTGGCGAAGTGTAGAGAGCAGTCAGGGTGCAGAGTGGGTCCCTGTGCTTGGGGTCTGGGTGGCAAAGGCTTCCCAGCGGAGGTGCTGCTCTCGGGGTAGCAGGAACCTGCACAGGGAGTCAGGACCCCAACCCTGGTCCTTTTCCAGACTGTGAGATTGGGAGCAAACCAGTCTCTGCTTTCCAGAGGTAAAGTAAGAGGTGGGGTCCAGTGATGTCTGCAGGATGTCTGGGGTGAAGAGGCCAGAAGTCAGACTTTGCAGTGAGCCTCCAGGGGTGGGCATGGGTGCAGGGGAGGGAGCAGAAAGGGCATCATTCCTGCAAGGGGAACGGCAAATGCAAAGGCGTGGAGGTGAGCCCTGCCTGGGCCTGCGGGGGGCTGCAGAAGGAGTGGGGCTGCAGGAAGGGGGAGCCAGAGGGGCTCACGAGTAGCAGGAAAGAGAAGAATCAGGATAGTGCCATTGACTCAGCCCAACTAGATGCTCAGCCTTGTGCTCAGCCCTTTATACGTGACTTCGTGTAATCCTCACTCTATAGGGAAACAGGCTGACAGCATTGAAGTGACCACTCAGTCCTGAGTTTCTTCATCTGTAAAATGGGGCCAGTGTAAAACCCAGGCAGTGCTCATTACATGGGCGTGTTTAGTGGTAGCAGTGGCCGGGGCATGTCGGTGTGACCCCCAGACCCCAAAGCTTCAGTGTACTTCCAGCCCCCTGGCGACCTGGTGGATATTAATATGAGCATTAATGTTGGTATTAATATTAATAGCAGCTAAATATTCATATTACATTGACCGTGAGCCACTGTTCCAAGTGCTTTACATACAATTACATATTTCTTATGACATCCTATGCGATAACAGCTATTGTTATCCGCATTATACAGATAAGAAACTGAGGCTCAGAGAGGTTAAGCCAGTGGCCCAAGGGCACACAGGCAAGTGGAAACCAGGATTAGAATCCAGAGCCCAAGCATTTAACCACCACGAGTACTGCCTGTTAGGTTTACCTGCTGCCAGAGATCCTGCCCCACAGTGGCACTTAGGAACCTGGGTTATTTATAGCCCCTCCCCCCGACTACTCAGGGAGCTTTGGAGGGCAGCCACCTTACCAAACCTGCCAGCAGGGACCCATCTCCACTTCTCCTTGTTACCGCAGTGCCAAGCAGAGCAGCCAGGGCAGTGGGGAGTCACAGCAGGTTACTGAACAGGAGCATGGCTTGCACCACCAGGCGCCGGGAGGTTGTCTGGCCAGTGGGTGAGGAAGGGAGGGTGAGGACTGGCCAGCACCCCCAACAGCGGGTGGCATAGCAGGCCCTGCCCCTGCACCTCACCCCGTGGTCTCCCAGGGCCTGAGGGGACAGATGGTATCGCCCAGGCCCGGGGCCGTGGCTGTCACTTGGCCAGATGAGTTACGAGCAGGCCGGAGGGGTGGCAGCCGGAGGGGTGGCGGCCGGAGGGGTGGCAGCCGGGGGGCTGCAGAAACAATTGCACTGAGACCCTGGGACAATGGGGGCCACGTGCCACAGGGGCAACAGTCGTTTGTCACACAATGGGATGCCGGGGGACAGCAGCCGGACCAACTGCTGCCACTGACACGGCCGGCCGGCCGCGTTTTCAAATCGTTTCCAGGCCCTGTTTCCCTATGAGGCAGCCAATCGCGGGGGCAGCCAGGCAGTCACCTGATGCCAGCTTTGTGGGCCCAGGGCCCGGCCCTGCGACAACTGAGCAGTGTGGCCATGGCAACGCTAATTGTGGCCCTAAAACACAAGAGGGGAGAGATGGGGAGGAGCAGAGAGAGAGACAGGGAGGAGGAGGGAGAGGGAGAACGTGAGGCAGAGCTGGCCAAGCAGATGGAGGGAGGGAAGGGGCCGGGCTTTGCTGGAGCCTCCGAGAGGCGCAGAAAACCAGGGCAGGATGGGTCGGTGTCCCGCCTCTCTCTGCCCCTCAATCTATGAGGCTATTTTTGAAACATGGAACTTAGAATTTAGACTGTGGGCCTCTTGGTGGTGACACAGAAAGCCCCTGGCTACAGGGGTGGCAGATGTGGTGGAGTCGGGCGTGTGCTCCTGGGCTGGTCTGCACCATCACGACAGGGCCCGGATGGTGGTGTAAGACCCGATGCTCTCGGAGTCGCGTGGCAAGTGTGACTTGAGGGCACTGGGGAGTGACATGGCTATCCCAAATCACCGACCTGTCTGGCACCTCCATGGGCAGCTATCCTACATCCACTACAACCGATGTTTTGCCCATGAATCTGTTGCGGCTGGTGGGTGTGGGTCCTAACTGGAGCCTCTTGGGACCACCAGGGGTCGAGTTGAAGGGCTCAGGCTTCAGGAGGCACTGACTGGGTCTCAGCCCCACCACCTCCTGTTCTGTGTCGCCTTGGGCAGGTGACTCGGTGCTCCAAGCCTCAGTTTTCTCATCTGTACGAGGGGAGTATGGGCCCACCCTACATCTCACAGCAGCTGTGGGGATTGTGCAGGACAGCGCTTGTTGAATGCTGAGTCCAGGGCCTGGCAGGTAGCAGGCACTCAGCTGCCTCAGCACATGGCAGGATCATCCACGCAGACCGTTCCCAAGTTCCATGTTCCTCACAGCTACAGTACAGCAGGAAACTGCCCTGGACATGGAGTCAGGTGACTGATCTTGTCATGGCAGGTGGGACCCTGACCACAGGCCCTGAGTGCTCTGTGCTGTAGTGTCCCATAGTAGGTGAGCTCCAACTGTGCCTCGGTTTCCCCATCTGTAAAATAGGAATAATAACACCTGCCTCATAGGGTGACTGGGAGTGTAAAAAGGCTTGATCGGTGTCTGGCACTGGTCAAGTCCTCAACAAATATTCGCGTGCATTGTTTATGTGGTAGGTGCTAAGTAGGATGCGTTAAGTGGGCTAAGGAAGGAATGATGAGGATGAAAGATCTGGCTGCCGAAAGGGATCTGGGACCAGGTTCCCGTGTCCAGTCCTGGGGACGGGCAGGTTGGAGGGCTGGCGTGGCTTGGGGAGATGAGGCACATTAAGCGGGTGCTTCCAGAGGTCGGGACGCACCCCCAGGAGCTGGCCTAAGCTCCCCCTCCCGCCCGAGTTCTCTGTTCCTCTTTGCAGGCTTCTAGCCACCACCAGCGATGATGACCTTCCCGGGGACCTGCAGTCGCTGTCGTGGCTCACGGCGGTGGATGTGCCTCGGCTGCAGCAGATGGCAAGTGGCCGCGTGGACCTGGGTGGCCCCTGCGTGCCACATCCACACCCAGGTAGGCTCAGGGACAAGGTAGGCAGGGAGGAGGGTGATATAGGAGAGGGGTGATTCCCAGCCCTGCCACCCACCCACTGTGCAGCCATGACCCGGTCTCCCAGTCTCTCTGGGCCTCTCTTTCTGCATCTGTAAAATGGGACAAATGCTCCCTTCCTTAGAGAGATGTGGTTTATCATTTGCTTAACTGTGCGCCAGGCCCTGGGCGAGCTAAGGTTTCTGTGAATAGAGTCCCGCTGCCACACTGGTGCATCTTGAACCTCTAGGGCAGTTGGCAAACTACAGCCCGTGGGCCAAATGCAGCCTACGACCTGTTTTTGTACAGCCTTTGTGTTAGGAATGGATTTTACATTTTCCAAGGGTTGTAAAAACACAGAGACCATCTGGCTGGCAAAGCCTGAAATATTTGCCATCTGGCCCTTCACAAAAGAAGTTTGCTGCCCCCTGATCAAGAGGATTCCAAGAGATAATGTGTGGAAAGTGCTGAGTGTAGGGGCTGGCACACAGTCGATGCTCAATAAAAGGCAGCTAGTGGCAGTTAGGTGCAATCATAGCAAATGGATAAAATGCTTAGAGACACAGAAAGTATTGAAGAAAAGCAAAACAGTGACAAAACAATAAACAACAGTATATTAAAAGTACCAGTGGTTGAAAAATACTTGTCTAGGATTATTTATTTCATTGGGCAAATCGTTCTTGGGCAAAGCATGTACAGCAGGGGTCAGCAAATTTTCTGTCAAGGGCCAGGTAGTAAATATTTTAGATTTTGTAGGTCAACTGATCTGTCAAAACAATTCAACTTTGCCATCGTAACACAAAACCAGCCACAGCCAATATGTAAATGAATCAATGCAACTCTGTGCCAATAAAACTTTATTTACAAAAACAGAGTTTGGCTGCCAGTTTGCCAACCCCTGATCTAGAACGCCCAGGGAACAGCTGTGTGATCTCAGCCAAGTGCTTTCTGCCCTGACTGGTTTCCACATCTGCAGCAAAAGTGTAACAGAACTGCCTGCATGGGACATTGTGAGGATTCAATGCAGAAAGTGCCTTGAATGCGGAGGTGTTTAACAAATGGTGAAATAAGGACGCCTCTCCTCTTCTTTCCCCACTGTGGCTGCTGGGTACTTTCTGTGGGCCTGTTACTGTGCCAGGCATTTGGAGCAATGAATGATATAAGTTGTGGTCCCAGTTCTTAGAAAGCTGATGATCTGGTCAGAGAGAGAAGGACAAGACAAACAGATCTAGGGACAGTGGCAGCCAGAACTCAGAAGAGAGCTGAAGGACCCAGAGGGCTTCCTGGAAGAGGTGGCCCTAGGGCAAGACCATCCTGCAGGTCAACTTTGCTTGATTGGAGGTGGCTGCCTAAAATCAGGCTAGAGCAGTAAGAATCTGTGATAGATTAGCAATGTCTGTCACAAGCCCAGCACAAGATGGGGGAAGTATGTCTGCCATTCTCATCCTGTGTGGAGCAGCAGGGCTTGGCAAAGGGGAGAGGAGGCACAAAGGTACTTTGGACCTAAACCTAGAGGCACTCGGGAGCCATGGCATGTTTTTGAGGAAAAGAAATGAACCGTGAATTGGTGTTTTAGCTTCATGAAGGACATAATCAATTATCATTTATTATTGACTCATGTTTATTGAGATATTATCATGTGCCCAGCAGTGTGCTAAGCACTTGATAGACATTATCTCATTTAACCCTCACAGCAGATTTATAGTTAGGGGTATCAGTAGATCAAGTACAAATGGGAAAACTGAGGCTGACCTAAGGTTATACAGCTGGTAAGAACCTACTTTTCACTACACACCAGGGAAGTGATTTGCCAAGCACCTACTATGTGCCTGGTCCGAGGAAAGGGGCTGGCTCCGTTCTCCGGAGACACCTGGGCACTGGGCTGTTCCTGGTGGCAGCCACCATTCCTCCAGCCCAGCAGCGTCTCTGTGCTTCTCTCCGGCAGGTGCCTTGGCTGGGGTGGCCGACCTGCATGTGGGAGCCACTCCAAGTCCCCTTCTCCATGGCCCAGCAGGCATGGCCCCCCGAGGCATGCCAGGTCTGGGCCCCATAACTGGCCACAGAGACAGCGTAAGTGGCACTGCATGGACTGCGGAGGGCGGGTAGTGCCCTCCAGACTGGGTGTCTACCCCCACCGTGACCCTCTGTCTCCTCCTCTTCCTGCCCAGCAGATGAGCCAGTTCCCCGTGGGGGGCCAGCCCTCATCTGGCCTGCAGGACCCGCCGCATCTGTACTCACCTGCCACCCAACCACAGTTCCCGCTCCCCCCGGGTGCCCAGCAGGTACCAAGGGCTCAGGGGAGCCCTGGACTGAGCAGCAGACACCCTGCCTTGGGCTGGCCGGGGACCCCTCTGAGCCTCAGTTTACTCACCCAGCACATGGGGATAACATTCCCTCCATGCTCATGTCATGGGGTCATTCATTCCGTTCCCCCAAAACTCCTGCCCTGAGTGGAGACAAGATTGTTTCCTGGACGGTTGTGAATCCCCACACAAGGTGTTTTGAAACTGGGGTGGGGACAGTGTTACTGTGAGTGACGTATGTTATTTCTCACCTTCTCTCTTTCTCTGCCACTTTCTCCCTGCCCCTGCCTGTGGGAAGTGCCCTCCTGTGGGCCTCTATGGCCCCCCATTTGGGGTGCGGCCCCCCTACCCCCAGCCCCACGTGGCTGTGCATTCATCTCAAGAACTGCACCCCAAACACTACCCCAAGCCCATCTACTCGTACAGGTGAGGTCCAGGGTGGGCCGGGTCAGGGCCAAGGGCGGCTCCGGGAGAGAGGGATGAGGCTGCCCTCAGGGCATCTCAGACAGCTAGTGTGGCAGCCCAGACTTCCAAGGGGGAGGTTTTGGGGAGTGGGGAACCCCCAGGTGGGACTTGTTCTCAGGAAGGCGCATCATAGGGTCCCCCAGGTCAAGAGCCCACTGCAGACCTGAGTCCAGTGCCACAGTTCACTTCATTCATAAGCCACGTGGCCTTGGGGAAGTGGGATGACCTCTCTGAGCCTCGATTTCCCCAAATGTAAAAAGTCATCAAAATAATAGTATTGTATACCTCGTGGGAGTTTGGGGAGGGGGAAACAACCTAGGTAAAGTCTGAAGGCTCATAGCCATTAAAATTATGGGGATGCAATAAAGAGGGGAAAGGGTAAGATTTCTCAAGTCAGTACCAATTGTTGTGCCCAGATCAAGGAGAAAGGGCAAAGGGTGGGAAAGACATCGGGCCATGAAAAGATATTGAGAGCTCACTGTGTGTGAGTGTTTAGGGTCAAGCAGGGCAGGCTTCCTGGCAGAGGCGGCATTGGGCTGTCAGCCTGAGACCCTTTCATGCCTGGCCTGCCCTGTCCTGCCCTGCCCTGCCCTGCCCCACCTCCTGCCCCCAGCTGTCTGATCGCCATGGCCCTGAAGAACAGCAAGACAGGCAGCCTGCCTGTGAGCGAGATCTACAGCTTCATGAAGGAGCACTTCCCCTACTTCAAGGTGAGTCCCAAGCTAGGGTAGGGGTGCTGGAGCTGCCCTGGTCTCTTCCTGGTGCTGCCAGAATCCAGGGCTGGCCCTGGGCCAACCCTCTTTGGTTCCCAGTTATGTCTGTACATCTGGTGGTTAGGACATGTGCACACACACTCACACAGAAGAAAGTCAGAAAGAGAGGGGGGCATTTGAACTGGGCTCTGACAGATGAAGAGGAGTTCATTAGGCATCCCAAGGAGAAAAGGGTAGAGGCACCAGACTAGGTACTCAGCACAGATTCAGTACAACATAATGATGCAAAACAACAGAATTGGCAAAAGCCTTCACCTCTGAGCCTCAGTATCCTCATCTGTCAGGGGTGGAGAATCATCCCAAGCTGGCAGGGTCAGTGAGGATCCTGCAGATAAAGGGCCTGGCAGCTTCCAGCATAGGGTTGGCCACTAGTAGTGTTATCCTTGTTAGCATCAAAGCAAAAAGTGGAGCAGGAAGTTAGAGGGTACACCAAGCTGTGGGGTCCCTGGATTGGACAGTGTCCTTAGCAAAAATACTGCAGTACAGTGTGTGTGCACACATGTACACATGTGGTGTGAGATGCATTGTGATATCTGGTTATCTAGCATTTAAAAATAATTTGCTGGTGGTGCACGACTGTAGTCCCAGCTACTTGGGGGGCTGAGGTGGGAAGACTGTTTGATCCCAGGAGGTTGAGGTTGCAGTGAGCCGTGATCATACCACTGTACTCCAGCCTGGGTGATGGAACAAGACCCTGTCACAAAAAAAAAAAAAAAAGTAAATTTGCATTGAATACACTCGATCAGTTATCCATTTATTGGCATCATTCTTCCTTGCTTGCTTCCTGAATGGGAGAGAGAATATGGAAGATCCAGCAGGCCAGGCTGCATCCTCCTATAGTAACAGTTGGCCAGAGCTGAACTGTAGTTCCCCTCTCATCAGGGCATGGCCACACCAGTTGGCCTCAGTCCCCAGCACTCTCTCTTGTCTCTCCAACTTGAGGCTGAGTGTCAGGCACTGTCAAATTACTCCTGCCACCGCGGTGTCCTGCCCCTATAGGCCTGAGTAGGAGATCCCCGGGGTAGGGGGAAGGGCTTACAGGGAGGCCTCTGAATGCCCATGTGTCTTCATAGACGGCCCCCGACGGGTGGAAGAACTCGGTGCGGCACAACCTGTCTCTGAACAAGTGCTTCGAGAAGGTGGAGAACAAGATGAGCGGCTCCTCCCGCAAGGGCTGCCTGTGGGCTCTGAACCTGGCCCGCATCGACAAGATGGAGGAGGAGATGCACAAGTGGAAGAGGAAGGACCTGGCTGCCATCCACCGGAGTATGGCCAACCCTGGTGAGGGCCGGACAGCCCGCAGTGCGCGCACACACACACACACACACACACACACACACGGAAGAGGAAGGACCTGGCCGACATCCACCAGAGCATGGCCAACCCTGGTGAAGCCGATGCATACGCACGCGCACACACACAAATATGCGCACACACACAAATACACGCACACGCACACAGAAGAGGAAGGACCTGGCTGCCATCCACCGGAGCATGGGCAACCCCAGTGAGGCCCAGATGCACACATGCGCGCACACACACAAATGCACTCACACACCTGTGCACACAAATGCACGCACACACGCAGAAGAGGAAGGACCTGGCTGCCATCCACTGGAGCATGGCCAATCCCGGTGAGGCCCAGACAGCTTGCAGCACGCACACACACACAAATGCACACACAGACCAATACACACATGCGTGCACACACACACGCAGAAGAGGAAGGACCTGGCTGGCATCCACTGGAGCATGGCCAACCCCAGTGAGGCCCAGATAGCCCACAGCATGTGCGCACACACACAAATGCACACAAATGCACAAACACACACACACAGAAGAGGAAGGACCTGGCCGCCATCCACCGGAGCGTAGCCAACCCCGGTGAGGCCTGGATGCACACACACACATGTGCGCACACACACGTGGAAGAGGAAGGACCTAGCCACCATCTACTAGAGCATGGCCAACTCTGGTGAGGCCCGGACAGCCCACAGCGCGCACACACACACGCACGCACACACACGTGCGCACACACAAGTGGAAGAGGAAGGACCTGGCCACCATCCACCAGAGCATGGCCAAGAGGCCCGGGCAGCCCCTAGTGTGTGCGCACACGCACACATGCACGCACACATATGCATGCACACACACACCACGCGCCCCTCCTCCCAGCCCAGCCCCAGCTCTGCCTATGCCCTACCCAGTCTCCAACACTTCTCAGCCAGGATGATGGGAAGACAGGCGTCTGGCAAACCTCCCTCCCTCCTATGAAATAGGCCTCCCCCTCCCCAACCCTATCCAGTGGCAGGAGTAGTAGAGGGGCCTGATCAAAAACAGGAAAAGCTGTTGGATCTCACTTGTCATCCATAGTTTCTTGCCCAGAAATGCCAAACTACACAACCATGGGTTACACATTGCTTTCCTACCACATTGTCAGAGATGTTTAAAATAGTAACACTCAGTGTGGGCTAGGATGTGGAACAATAGAGAGCTTCGTATATAATGGATAGGAATTTAAGCTGTTAAACTTTTTGAGGGAAAGCTAATATATCAAACACCTGCAAATGGTACCCATGGATTGGTCCAATTATTCTACTTCTGATGATGTGTACTGTGAAGAGCAAAGATTTGAGCAGAAGGTTTGTGAACAAAGTTATCCATCACAAAATTATTTCTAAGAGTGAAACACAGAAAGCAGTCCAGACATCTCACAATAGGGGTTGGTTAAATAAATAGAATGGCATACCATGCAAGTATTAGAAATGAGAAATATTTTAAAATATTTTTGGAACATAAATAAATGTTAGGCCGGGTGCGGTGGCTCATGCCCATAATCCCAGCACTTTGGGAGGCCAAGGCGGGTGGATCACCTGAGGTCAGGAGTTCAAGACCAGCCTGGCCAACATGGTGAAACCCCATCTCTACTAAAAATACAAAAATTAGCCAGGCATGGTGGCAGGTGCCTGTAATCCCAGCTACTTAGGAGGCTGAGGCAGGAGAATCACTTGAACCCAGGAGGCGGAGGTTGCAGTGACCCGAGATCAAGCCACTGTACTCCAGCCTGGGTGACAGAGCAAGACTCCATCTCAAAAAAAAAAAAAAAAAAGTTCTCAAACAATAAGTGAAAAGGGGCAGGTTATAATCAATATCCACAGCAAGATCATATTTTAAAATACATATATATCCATATTCACTTCCCTCCCAAAAATGTATGTATCTGAGAGAGAGCGAGTGAGAGAATGAGAATAAATATGCTTGTGTGTTTGGGAAGAAATACACCAAAATCTTTACTGTGAATGGAGAGACCATTGATAACTTTTATATTTTTCACATATTTCTGTATTTTCCAAAACTTCTATCCTGTTCCTAATTAGAAAAAGGATTGCATCTGCTTTTAAAAAAAAAATTAATGGATTTGAGGAGGGGCCATCCAAGGGACATATGCATGGGGACTGTGACGTGGAGGCTAATTGTGCCCCAGCCTTCGGAGTATGGCCAGAGTCTGTTGGGTATCACCATGCGGTGTAGGAATGGGGCTAGCAGTGTGGCTTGGGGATGAACAACTCAAGGCAGGGAGAAGGGCTATAGCAGGAGCCAATGGTCCCTCAGTTGAGGGGGTATGACATCGCGCCCACCCCACCGAGAGCTCTGGGGTCTGGCTTGAGACCCAGGGCCAGTACTGACACATATTCGGAGTGAAGTCTTGGGCAAGTTATTTTGCCTTCTACATTCTAAGTGCTCTCATTTCTCAAATGGGTACAACCCAAATAGATCTGGGGACCCTACCAGTCTACTATCAACCCTGTGTTGCACTCAACAAGACATAGCCATTAATCAAAAATAATATGAGAGTAATTTGTCTTTACTTGTTTATATCCAAGAGTGTTAAGGATTTTTAACCCACAGCAACACTTCTTAATGTCTCTTTAGTAGCAGGGAGTGGCTAGGGCCCCTTGCATGTTAATACATTTTGTCCCAGTCTTATGGGATTTGTAATCGCGGCCTTACCTCCTTCTTGCAGGGCTGTTATGAGATTTAAGTGAAGCCCTAGGGTTACAGGGCTGTCCTGTAAGGCACTGTCCCGATGAAAGATGAAAGGGGCTAGTGTTATTATCTGATGACATTTTTTTTTTAAAGGCAGGGTCTTGCTCTATCACCCAGGCTGGAGTACAGTAGTGCAATCATGTCTTACTGCAGCCTCAACCTCCTGGGCTCAAGTGATCCCCCCACCTCAGCCTCCCAAGTAGCTGGTACTACAGGCACACACCACCAAGCCCAGCTCATATTTTTTATTTTTTGTAGAGATGGTAGCTCACTATGTTGTTCAGGCTAATCTTGAACTCTTGGCCTCAAGCTGTCCTCCTGCTTCAGCCTCCCAAAGCACTGGGATTGCATGAGCCCAGCCTTTGATGTCGTCTCTTATTCCTCAAAGATTCTGCACAGTCTGTGATTTTGTTACATTTCCACAACAACCGTGTGCAGAGGGTATGATGTTTTGCTAGATGGGCAGAGATGTTTAAAATAATAAAATATTGACACCCAGCATGGGCTAGGACGCAGAGAAGTATTTAATAGACACCTTCATTTACAATGGGTGGCAATGTAAGTTGTGAGATGAGATGATGCCTGTGTCATTTCATAGGTGAGGAGACAGAGGTTCTGAGTGTCCAAGAGGCTTGCTAAGGTCACACAGGTGGTGACACTGGAATTTGAACCCAGGCCTGGGCTGGGGCCCGGTAACTGCTGGGTGGGTTCTGAGTGACCTCTCCCACTTGCCTGCAGAGGAGTTGGACAAGCTGATCTCCGACCGGCCTGAAAGCTGCCGGCGCCCCGGCAAACCGGGGGAACCAGAGGCCCCCGTGCTGACTCACGCCACCACAGTGGCCGTGGCGCATGGCTGCCTGGCTGTCTCCCAGCTCCCACCCCAGCCACTGATGACCCTGTCCCTGCAGTCAGTCCCCCTGCACCACCAGGTCCAGCCCCAGGCACATCTTGCTCCAGACTCTCCAGCACCAGCCCAGACCCCGCCACTGCACGCCCTGCCGGACCTCAGCCCCAGCCCGCTCCCCCACCCCGCCATGGGAAGGGCTCCTGTAGACTTCATCAACATCAGCACCGACATGAACACTGAGGTGGATGCCCTCGACCCGAGCATCATGGACTTCGCTCTGCAGGGTGAGGCTGGAGGAATGGAGTGATGGGAATGGAATGGGGAGGGGAGAGGCCCGGGGGCCAAAGGGAGTGAGGGAGAGGACTGTACTGCCTGCATTTGCCCCACAGTCTTGTTCCCATAGCAACAACCTTTACAAGTTGAACATCCCTAATCCGGAAATCCAAAATGCTCCAAAATCCAAAAATTTTTGAGCTCCGACAAGACACTCAAATGTCATGCTCGTTGGAGCAGTTCAGATTTCAGATGTTTGGTTGGATTAGGGATGTTCAACCTGTTATAGCCAATGGCAGCCAACAGGGAATGAGCATTTGCTGTATACCGGGCCAAAGCATTCCATAGGCATCACCTGAGGTCACCACCATTCCACATCCCTGTTCTGCCAATGAGGAAACTGAGGCAGAGAGAAGTGAAGTCACTCACCCAAGGTCACCTGGCTAGTAAGTGGCAGAGTCCGGAGTTAAACCTCGGTCTGACCCCAAAGTTTTCATCAGTAACTGCTTCAACTCACATGTGCCAGCCCCATGCCAGGTCACACTCTGACCTGCTGCCTTGCCGCATGATCATCTCCAATAAATGGGACGTGATGAATGAACGAACAAGGGAATTTCAGGTTTCAGTGAAGGCTCAGACTTCATCCATTCACTAGCACAGGTGCAGCTCTTATGTTCCAGCCAAGGGTGGAGACAGCCTCTGCCCTGAGTTCTGTCTCTAGCGAGGGAAATGGACAAGTGGCAAGTCAGCTGCAGCTGTGAAGTGGGTATATTTGCACCTCCCTGCCTCTTTCCCCCTGGATTGTTGTGTAGTTCAACGTGCTGAAGAAAGAGAAACATTGTCTTGTCCCCCTGGCTTTGACCATAATGATACCATGAGAACTAAATGCTTTTCACAAGTCCTCTTGTTTAACCCGTGCCACAGCCTTAGGAGCTGGGTTCACTGATCATTTCCATCTTATTCTGAGGTTCTGAGATGGAAGTGACTTTCCCAAGGACATTCAGTGGGAAGGTGAGGGCCCGGGGCTGCTGCGACTCTGGCCCTTCCATGCTTTTTTTTTTTTTTTTTTTTTTTTGAGGTGGAGTCTCACTCTGTCACCCAGGCTGTAGCGCAGTGGCACAATCTCTGCTCACTGCAGCCTCCAACTCCTGGGTTCAAGTGATTCTTGTGCCTCAGCCTCCCAAGTAGCTGGGATTACAGGTGTGCGCTACCAGCCCAGGCTAATTTTTGTATTTTTAGTAGAGATGGGGTTTTGCCATGTTGGCCAGGCTGGCGTTGAACTCCTGGCCTCAAGTGATCCACCCACCTCGGCCTCCCAAAGTGCTGGGATTACAGGCTTGAGCCACCAGGCCCGGCCCCATGCCCTTTTTCTACAACACATGACTTAGACACCACACATGGTCTCTGCCTCTTCCCTAAGATGGGGGATTCGAACTCAGGTCATTTGATGGGAAGCCAGCTCACCCTAATGCTTTTGTCTTTGAAAGGGAACCTGTGGGAGGAGATGAAGGATGAGGGATTCAGCTTGGACACACTGGGCGCCTTTGCAGACTCCCCGCTTGGCTGTGACCTGGGGGCCTCAGGCCTAACCCCTGCCTCGGGTGGCAGCGACCAGTCCTTCCCAGACTTGCAGGTGACGGGTCTCTACACAGCGTACTCCACTCCGGACAGTGTGGCTGCATCGGGCACCAGCTCCTCCTCCCAGTACCTGGGTGCACAGGGGAACAAGCCTATAGCCCTGCTTTGAGCTGTCAGCCTCACCTGCCCTGGAACCCCGGCACCCGGCTTGGGCAGAGAACTGACTAGAACAGGGTGTTCCCAGAAGGCAGGTCCCTCATTGTCCCCGAAGCCTCTCCTGGACCTGTGGCGAAGTTGCCGGCTGGACAGGGAAGCGGTTCCCCTCAGCAGCCCCTCTCCTTCTCGTGCCTCCCCCTGGAGCTTCCGGAGCAGTTTCTGGGGGCTCTTCCAAGTCAGAAGAATGGAGGAAGGTGGACAAGCAACCCAGCATCCCCCGACCCCTTGACACTCCTCCGAGGCCTGAGCCGCAATGCCTGCCCGTGTTGAGTGAGACTTCTCCATCCTGGATCCTGGCTGCGTGACCTCAGTGACCTGCACCCCATTTTGGGACACCTTGGTGCATTAAGGAAACACCCTGGGGTGAAAGCCCTTGAATTCATCCTCATGGGAAATGGCTGAGTGGATCAAACCTCAGCCGCAGCCTCCGGGGGACAGGCCCAGGGCGGGAAATGGAGCCGGAGAAGCTTGAGCCTCTCTCTTGGACAGGACAAGCTGAACTCTGAAATGGGAGCCGGTCCAGGTGGCCTTCAGCCCCACCTTTCCGATAGTCTGTTAGAATTTTATTAGCGCAGATTCCTGGGCCATGCCGGGTACCGTGACCTTGTGTAAATTTATTTATATTTATTGTGGCCCATCCACCCCACTTCTGCAAACCCATCCCGAGGCCTCTGGAATGGGACTCCTTCTCCCTCCCTACCTCCCAGCCATCCTAACTCCTACAGGCCAGAGAATGACATCTCTAACTGGCTCATAATCCCTTGGCAGCCTGGGGCTACTTTTTAGAACCAGCAAGCACTGTTGATACTGTGAAACATCCCATTTTTTCCGTATTAGAGACCAGATATTTTTCTACCTGTTCATGATTCACATCTCTTCTTGCATGTACCTAAGAGGGGCGGTGCCATTGTTTGGGGGCTTGGGGGGCTTTCAAAGGGGAAAATGCGATGGGAGAGGGAGGAACTGGAGGGGGGTGCTTTTGTACTGGGATTTAAGACACCCCTGATGGAATGAAAGCCAACTGAACCACGTAAAGCTCGAACCACGTGGCAAGTGGTGGACAAAACTTCAACGCATGATATTTATTGGCACTTCCTCACCTCCCTTTGCCCTGCAGCTGTTTTTATGCTTCTTTTTCTCTCCTTGCTAATTACTGACTCCCCAAGTGGCAAGTTCCGCAGATAGCTGGGTTAGAAGAGAGACAGGGGAGTGAGCTAGTCAAATGTGAAAAATGCTCTCCCAGCAAAGCTGAGACAAAATTGGAGAAGCTGCAGCCTCACGCACCATCCCCCTCTTTCCACCAGATGGATGTTG